>NC_000011.10:37484242-37635757 GCF_000001405.40 Homo sapiens
CAGGTAGCACGTAAGAAATGGCATACGTTATAAATAGTTGCTAATAATTAAGCAATGAACATAAGGGTAGTGGCTGTTCATGACCTCAATAACTACACACAGTCTCCATTTTAACTGTTGTGCCTCAGTGCACATGTAATAGATAATCTTGATTATAATCTCCATTTTTATGGCAATTAATTTTGGACAGCCATGATTCACTTTGGAGGAATATGTTTATTAAGGCATTAATACATCCTGGCATTAGAGTGATGCCCCAGGAATGTTGGGAGAGCAACATTTTATACTGGGAAAACATACACCAGAGCAGGTAAACCAAAGCCTGAGTAATCATGATGTTAACCTTTAATGGATGTAAATCACTTACAGAAGACATTAAGGAGTAAAAACAAACAAAAAATAATGACAGTTACAGTGGCCTAATTTACCCACACATATAAAAGGGTAGAAACTTGAACAAAGTTTGTAAATCCTTAAAAGATTAAACAAAGTGGTGGCCACTATTTTTAAGGCATGAAGAGTGAGGTCACAATACCCTGACAGATTAAGTAAAATTAAAGCTAACACTGTGGTATAGCGACTACTTACATACCATTTCACTTTATTAAGGATTGTAATTAATCTAGACAGTCTCAGTGTTTACAAAAGGTTTCTGACCTTGTCATTGTCCAATCAAAGCAAGTAAAGCGGACAAAACCAAAAGCTGTCTTTGAAATCAGTTTGGAAATATCTCTTATACAGATCATGCTGATTACCAAAAAGAAACACACTAATAACAATACAGGCAGTGATAGGGTTTGGCTGTGTCCCCACCAAAATCTCAACTTTAATTGTATCTCCCAGAATTCCCATGTGTTGTGGGAATGACCCAGGGGGAGATAATTGAATCACAGGGGCCGGTCTTTCCGGTACTATTCTTGCGATAGTGAATAAGTCTCACAAGATCTGATGGATATATCAGGGGTTTCCACTTTTGCTACTTCTTCATCTGCTCTTGCTGCAGCCATGTAAGAAGTGCCTTTCTCCTCCTGCCATGATTCTGAGGCCTCCCCAGCCATGTGGAACTGTAAGTCCAATTAAACCTCTTTTTCTTCCCAGTCTCAGGTATGTCTTTATCAGCAGTGTGAAATGGACTAATACAGGCAGTAATTGAGACAGGTAATATTTTTGTCTATCTTTCATGCAACATAATAATTTAGCATTTGTAATTAACAACAGACAAAATACTCTTTTCTATAATGGGGTAAATAGATCCTGTTTTACATGAGAGAAAATTAAATGATCTGAACTTTATAACCTGTTTAGATATTTTCTGTTCAAAAATATCCTCTAGATTAGGAATAATTTAAATACATATTGTATAAATTAAGAATGATAACGCAGGTAATATTCAGTCATATTTGGAATTATGGCACTTTTATATGCAGGGGAGATTAAAGCTAAGAGACCAGAAAGTACAGAATGGGAATGATTTTAGTCTGGAAGAAATTTGCTCTATGTCAGATTTTATATCAATGAAATAAATAATCTCCTGTTCTGTTCAAGCCATACACATGCATACACACACACAGACACAACTGTGTAACAAATCTAGAACAGGTCACAAAAGAGCTGAAACCCACTGCAGAAATCAATATTAAAGCTTGTTGAGTCCTTTGTCCTTTAATCAGAGGTCTGAATTCTTGTTCTGAGAAATAAGCATGTACATTTAGCTTTCAGAACTTCTTTTTCAGTATATTGTGTCTATGTACATGTATATTTTTCCATGTAAACACTTTAAAAATATTAATTTGTGTTCTATCTAGACTTACATCCAATCTATATATAGTCATCCCTCAGTATTCATGTTTGGGGGATTGGTTCTAGGAACTCCCAAACCCTACAGATACCCAAATCTGTGGGTGCTCAAGTCCCTTATGTAATATTGTATTTGCATAAAACCTATGCATATTCTCCCATATACTTTAAATGATTTCTAGATTACTTTTAATGCTGAATGCAATGTAAATGCTATGTAAGTAGTTGCTGTACTGTAGTGTTTAGGCAGAATGACCAAAAACAAATCTGTATATGTTTAGTACAGTTGCAACATCCTGTCCTAGGCCTAACTACACTTTCAATCTAAGGTTGGTTGAATCCACAAATGTAGAACTCATGAATTCAGAGGGCTGACTATATAAATTTACTAATTTATTTTTAGGTTCAAACCAAAAGTATTTGAGTGTCAGATATTATGTTAAGCAGACTGGAGACAAAAGAACACTGAAATGCAGTCTCCACTTCTCGGTGCTCGTGTGAAAATACAGTTAATGTACAGCACAAATATATCAAAACAAACATGTTGTTGGTCAGGAAATGAAGCATAGAGAATATGGAGCATTTTCTGAATCAAGGGTTGGCAAACTTTTACTATCTGCTACATAGCAAATATATATATACATATATATATTTAAAAAATACTTTAAGTTCTAGGGTACATGTGCACAATGTGCGGTTTTGTTACCTATGTATACATGTGCCATGTTGGTTTGCTGCACCCATTAACTCATCATTTACATTAGGTATTAGGAAAAATACCTGAAGTAAAAATATTTTAAGCTTTGTGGGCCATGCAGTTTTTGGTCACAACTATTCAACTCTGCTGTTGTAGTATGAAAATAGCCATGAACAATACTTAAATGAATAGGTATGGCTGTGTTCCAATCAAACTTTATTTAGGAATCTTTGTGGTGGATGGTGATGGTAAATTTGACCCACTGGCCATACTTGGCTGAATCTTTATCTAGATCATGAAAAACAAGATGGAACTAAACAGCTGTAGAAATACATAAATATTGTATCAGGCAGAAGGAACAGAATAGTCAAGCCACGAAGACTTGTGAGGTATCTGAGCAGGCTGAAAAATGATTTCAGTGACTATACCTGTGCTATATAGCTAGAGATAAATTAAGTGATCGCATATTTAATCAATACAGCAACTCTATTCTTACTGATGAGAAAGTCCATAATAATGTGGAGAAAATGGGATTCAAATATTCAAATACAAGTTTGACTTTAAAACCCTGCTTTTTGCACTGTACCTCGTTTCTTTAGTCTGAGAAACATATACTTGTTAAATACTGAATACTTGGTAATTACACGTCTCTACCTTTTATATGGAAATTACATTGAGTGGATCTAAAACTAATTAACATGTATGGTGAGCTCCCCTTGCCTAAAATGCTGAAGAATAAGAAATAAATAAATTTACTTATAATTGCATGGTTAGTACTATGTAATTAATCTGCCCTGAAACACCAGTTAATTATGAATTACAGGTTGCCAAACAGACTGAATTTGAAATAGATTCACTTTTTAATTTTCTTTTGCTCAGTGTTGTAGGGCCGATTCTGCTTTCATTTGCCCACCATTGGCTACAAGTGGAAATAACTCCATTTCCTTTAACACTTTCCCATTGTAATGCCACACAAACATATGTTCTTGTTGGACTCTCAATTAATTATGACAGAAACTGTGAAGCACCCTCTGTGCTTCTTCTGGAATTTTGAAATGCTATCAATCATTTTTGCCTGTTGCCTGGGGCAAACAGTGATGCTGTATTTAGGCTAAAAGATGGGAAAGTTATTAGACATCTGTGTTAAAAATAAATAGGCAAAATCACCATTGAGAGTTTTCAAATTGAAGTCACTGCAAACATACAAAATGGGATCAAGGAGTGACTTCTAAACATTTGTCATTCATACGCTTAAAGATTTCATAAAATCAATTAACCACATCAAAACTGAAATCTGGAGCTCGGCTATACTTCATTAGGTTTATTAACTGTGACGCCAACAGCTTAATATAAATTATTCTCCTATGAGTACCCAAGAAGAGAACTGAACACTTTTTAAAAAGATGAAAAAAAAAGATTGCATGGTTTTCAGTGTTATGATTATTAATGAGCCCACATATATTTGGTGCTGTTGAATCATCTCTAATTAGTTTGGATGTTACAATAAATACCATTGATCATTCCATCATGTAAAAGCCTTCTCTCTACATAGAATGATAGAACAAGAAGACCTACAAGATTAATTCATCCTCCACTTTCATTTTTCACAGAAGGAAACCGAAGAACACAGAGGGGGTCACATAGCTAGTTAAAAACAGAGACGATATTGCTAAATCTTAGTATTCTTTACACATTACCATATTTCCTTGCTTGTCTTTCTTTGGAAGGGTATTCTGAACTTGAATATGTACTGCTCTGGCAGGCCAGTTTGATTTCATAGCTCTGTCAATGTGTTTCTTAATTTTCTATTTTTTTAAAAAAAACAAATTAACCTACTTTAATTTATTCTTAATATATGATGTTCTGTCTTCTTCCCCCCAAAGATGGTGGCTAAGTCCCTGCTTTATCTGATCAAATTAGACATGGAATGGACATTGCACATGTGTATAGCATCAATATTCTAACCGTGATAAAAAGCAGTCATATCTAGATATTTCATTGGAAATTTAGTGTACTGCCTAAATCAAATACATACAATGATCTGTTATTCTTTGCCTGGTCAGCAGCCTCCAGTTTGCTGCTGAAATGAATTCACATTTTTAAAATTAATAAAATATTTTAGTCCACTTTTGCAGTAGTTTTTCTCCTTTTCCCCCCACTTACCAGCAACTACTCACTCTTCTTGTCTGACCTTTGTTTAAGTTGATTTCTCCATTTATATTCTTCTTAACTTTAATAGTAGTTATGCCAGTATGAATGAGGCACATTTAAGCCTGGATTTCAAATTTCAGCCACAGTGCTTGCTACTCAACCAGACATGCATTTGTTGGGGACTTGCTCTATGAAAGACAGATGAATTGTTTCAGGAGATTTACAACTTAGTAAAATGAATTATAAGAAGCAAGCAAATAACTGCAGCTTTCATCAGTCTTTTTTTTTTTTTTTTTTTTTTTTTTTTGAGACAGAGTCTCGCCCTGTTGCCCAAGCTGGAGTACAGTGGCGCGATCTCGGCTCACTGCAAGCTCTGCTTCCTGGGTTCATGCCATTCTCCTGCTTCAGCCTCCTGAGTAGCTGAGACTACAGGCGCCTACCACCACACCTGGCTAATTTTTTGTATTTTTAGTAGGGACGGGGTTTCACTGTGTTAGCCAGGATGGTCTCGATCTGCTGACCTCGTAATCCACCTGCCTTGGTCTCCCAAAGTGCTGGGCTTACAGGTGTGAGCATCAGTCTTCTTTCTTACAAAGATTATTGTCTTCAGCTGGGAGGAGCTGGAAGGTAACTTAATGACCATGCAAAAGAAAGAAGATTTTAGAATCTCTTATCTTTAATGCCGGTATCTTATGAGCAATTTGAAAACTGTCATTTCCCCCAGTAAATTTATTCTTATAATTTTTTTCTACTTTTAAACTATATGGTTTTTGAGAGTAAAAATAGAGTCCCATTTATTTTTCTGTTTTTTTTTTTAAATAATACTGTGGTAAAGAGTATTAATATTAGAGATCATAAATGTCTTGCTAAAGAGCTCAACATGATCAGGTATAATCAGAAACAATCTTAGTATTTTCCACCTCTTTCTTCAAATGTATCTTGTCAGATATTCTTTGCCATTTCCTGGAAAATAGATATAGTTGTTAGCTTTGTGGGACACAAGTCCCACAATTTTCAGGTTATTACTGTTTTATTTTCAATATTAAAATGAAGTTTCTATTCTCCTTGTGAATTTAAAGCTTTTTCCAGCCTCACCAGCTCACACCTGACCAGTAGTGAGGAATGTGAGATGGTCTGTTCTGCCTCCTTTTTCAAATTTCCTTTTACTCTGCTAGATCATCCAACCTGTCTCTCTCTCTGGCTCTCTATCTCTCTGTCACACACACACACACACACACACACACACACACACTTTATTTATTCTCCCAATCATGCTCCATATTGTTCCTCCCCACAACCCATTTAGTGCTCAGCCAGAGGTGATCTTTAACCACAATCACTTACATTCCTTCTAGCATCATTCTGAAGGCTATTTCTTATGGTTTCTGTTTAAGCCCTTGACATAGGCTCAAGCATTTCCCTCACTGATATATTTTGTTTCTTTCTCTACCTTCACGCATCTGAACTCTTAAATTCTTTCTTCTCTGTATTTTTAGCCCATTTCCATGTAAGTTCCAGAATGTGTAATATTTTTTTTAATAGGAGAAAATCTCATGGAATTGCAGACCCATCGCCATTCTTGTACAATGGTTGTTTCTAATCCTATCACCATAGCAATAGCATGGAAATCAGCAAAATTAAAATCAGGAACGAAAATTGAATGCCAGAAACATCACCATTCTAAGACTTCTACAACATATTGATGCATTTGATCTATAAATTTTGCTGATGAAAACAGACCAGAAACATGCATTTTTTAAAGTTGCACAATTCTGATTATAGATTTTATTACTGTCGTTATATATATGTGTGTATGTACATATATACACATATGTATATATATGTGTGCATGTATATGTATATATGTGTGCATGTATATATACATGTATATGTGTGTACATATATGTACATATATGTATGTCTATGTATATGTATATATGTATGTGTATATATACATGTATATATGGATATATATCATATGTATATATGTGCGCATAAAATACACATATGCATATGTATATGTGTGTATGTACATATATACATATATGTATATGTGTGTGTACATATATACATATATGCCTATATGTGTGTACATCTATATATACATATATGCATATATGTGTGTACATCTATACATACGTATATGTATGTGTGTATGTATATGTATATATGTATGTGTGTATATATGTGAATATATACATTCTGGAATTATGTGCATACAGTATTATACATTCTGGAAATTATATATATACAAGTATATATATGCACACACATATATACACATACATACACACATAAGTATATGTATGTATAGATGTACACATATATATATGTACACACACACGATGATACATATACATATATATTCCTGATATATATATATATGTGTGTGTCCTGATATATATATATATATGTGTGTGTGTGTCAGGAATATTGCTCTATAATGAGGAAAGATTGATTTTTACCAAGCACTTGGAAGAGTTCCCAAACACAAAGCTTGTGTTTGGGATGACTCTAAAAGACTTTCAAAATCATTGTCAGTCTTCTAAAACATTGATTATAGTTTCTTTTTAAAATAAGAGAATTGAATTGTTTGTTTTGAGAAAGTTCTCAAGGACAGGTTTTCAATATTGTCAATTCTTTTGCATCTAGCCTGCCATTCTGAAAACATCCACTGAGTACATACCAAGAGTTAGCCGTGGGGATACACAATCGAACAAACAAAAACTAAAGTTCCTGTCAATATGGAGCTTATTTTTCTGGTGAAGAATAAAGATGTTAAATAAGTAATTGCATGAAAATTTGGTTAGTGTTATGATCTGATGAGTACAGACTATTGTGGAAGCACTTTTTCGTTTACCATGTCTAGTAATTAAATACCATATAACAGTCAAATATAACAAATAAACAGATGCTATCTTCTTTAATCTGCCTGGAACACACTGGATGGTTCCTTTTTGACAGCTTTCAGCTGCAATATCAAATCTTCAGAAGAGATTTTCCCTTAAAAAATATCATCATCTAGTCCTTTCATTCCTCCACCATATTTTAATTGTCTGTATAGTTTTCTTGCTTTTTTATTTGCTTACTCATTATCTGTATTTCTGTCTGAGTGTTTACTACTTATTTCCAAAGTCTAGACCAGGATTAGGCACATAATAGTTATTCAATATTGGTAGATTAATTGAATAATAATGATATATAAATATATCCACTTGCATATGTCTTGTTAGTAATTTGTTAAAAAAATTGATTGATTCATTAATATGGTTTTCATAACCTTTAAAAAACTAGCTACCATTTTTCTTTGTTAGCTGTTAGTAATATTTCATTGTATGTATGTACCACATTTTCTTTATTCATTCACCCATTGATAGACATTTAGGTTACTTCCAGGGCCTGGATGTTGTAAATAATGTTGCAAAAAAACAAGAAACTGCAGATATCTCTTCAAAATACTGATTTCTTTTTTTCTTTTTTTTTAATTATACTTTAAGTTTTAGGGTACATGTGCACATTGTTCAGGTTAGTTACATATGTATACATGTGCCATGCTGGTGCGCTGCACCCACTAACTCGTCATCTAGCATTAGGTATATCTCCCGATGCTATCCCTCCCCCCTCCCCCCACCCCACAACAGTCCCCAGAGTGTGATGTTCCCCTTCCTGTGTCCATGTGATCCCATTGTTCAGTTCCCACGTATGAGTGAGAATATGCGGTGTTTGGTTTTTTGTTCTTGCGATAGTTTACTGAGAATGATGATTTCCAATTTCATCCATGTCCCTACAAAGGACATGAACTCATCATTTTTTATGGCTGCATAATATTCCATGGTGTATATGTGCCACATTTTCTTAATCCAGTCTATCATTGTTGGACATTTGGGTTGGTTCCAAGTCTTTGCTATTGTGAATAATGCCACAATAAACATACGTGTGCATGTGTCTTTATAGCAGCATGATTTATAATCCTTTGGGTATATACCCAGTAATGGGATGGCTGGGTTAAATGGTATTTCCAGTTCTAGATCCCTGAGGAATCGCCACACTGACTTCCACAATGGTTGAACTAGTTTACAGTCCCACCAACAGTGTAAAAGTGTTCCTATTTCTCCACATCCTCTCCAGCACCTGTTGTTTCCTGACTTTTTAATGATTGCCATTCTAACTGGTGTGAGATGGTATCTCATTGTGGTTTTGATTTGCATTTATCTGATGGCCAGTGATGATGAGCATTTTTTCATGTGTTTTTTGGCTGCATAAATGTCTTCTTTTGAGAAGTGTCTGTTCATGTCCTTCGCCCACTTTTTGATGGGGTTGTTTGTTTTTTCTTGTAAATTTGTTTGAGTTCTTTGTAGATTCTGGATATTAGCCCTTTGTCAGATGAGTAGGTTGCGAAAATTTTCTCCCATTTTGTAGGTTGCCTGTTCACTCTGATGGTAGTTTCTTTTGCTGTGCAGAAGCGCTTTAGTTTAATGAGATCCCATTTGTCAATTTTGGCTTTTGTTGCCATTGCTTTTGGTGTTTTAGACATGAAGTCCTTGCCCATGCCTATGTCCTGAATGGTAATGCCTAGGTTTTCTTCCAGGGTTTTTATGATTTTAGGTCTAACGTTTAAGTCTTTAATCCATCTTGAATTAGGCAGGAGAAGGAAATAAAGGGTATTCAATTAGGAAAAGAGGAAGTCAAATTGTCCCTGTTTGCAGACGACATGATTGTATATCTAGAAAACCCCATTGTCTCAGCCCAAAATCTCCTTAAGCTGATAAGCAACTTCAACAAAGTCTCAGGATACAAAATCAATGTACAAAAATCACAAGCATTCTTATACATCAACAACAGACAAACAGAGAGCCAAATCATGAGTGAACTCCCATTCACAATTGCTTACAAAGAGAATAAAATACCTAGGAATCCAACTTACAAGGGATGTGAAGGACCTCTTCAAGGAGAACTACAAACCACTGCTCAAGGAAATAAAAGAGGATACAAACAAATGGAAGAACATTCCATGCTCATGGACAGAAAGAATCAATATCATGAAAATGGCCATACTGCCCAAGGTAATTTACAGATTCAATGCCATCCCCATCAAGCTACCAATGACTTTCTTCACAGAATTGGAAAAAACTACTTTAAAGTTCATATGGAACCAAAAAAGAGCCCGCATCACCAAGTCAATCCTAAGCCAAAAGAACAAAGCTGGAGGCATCACACTACCTGACTTCAAACTATACTACAAGTCTACAGTAACCAAAACAGCATGGTACTGGTACCAAAACAGAGATATAGATCAATGGAACAGAACAGAGCCCTCAGAAATAACGCCGCATATCTACAACTATCTGATCTTTGACAAACCTGAGAAAAACAAGCAATGGGGAAAGGATTCCCTATTTAATAAATGGTGCTGG
The DNA here is from genome assembly GCF_000001405.40 of Homo sapiens. Classification (NCBI taxonomy): domain Eukaryota; kingdom Metazoa; phylum Chordata; class Mammalia; order Primates; family Hominidae; genus Homo; species Homo sapiens. The sequence continues at coordinate 37,494,302 of NC_000011.10, forward strand.
GAAAACTGGCTAGCCATATGTAGAAAGCTGAAACTGGATCCCTTCCTTACACCTTATACAAAATACTGATTTCAAAACAAAAGAAATCTTACCATCTGCAACAACATGGAAGAACTTGAAGGGCATTATGCTAAGTAAAATAAGGCAGAAACAGAAAAGGACAAATACTACATGATATTACTTATGTGATGACTCTGAAGCAGTGAAACTCAGAGGAGCAGAGAGTGGAATGGTGGTTGCCAGGAGATGGGGGAAGGGAAAATGGGGAGGTGTTAGTCAAATAATATGAAGTTTCAGTTTTACAAGATGAGTAGGTCCTAAATATCTACTGTACAACATAGTGCTTATGGTTAACAATGTTGTATTGTATACTTGGAAATATGCTAGGAGGTTGTATCTCATGTTACGTGTTATCACAGATAAATAATAATCATCATCATAAACAAGAAGGGGAAGGAAACTTTTGGAAGCAATAGATAGGTTGTTTATACATAGAATGTGGTGATGGTTTCATGGATGTATATTTATCTCCAAAACTCATCAAGTTATATACATGAAATATGTAAAACTTCTTGTTTGTCAGTAATACCGCAATACAGTGGTTTAGAAAATAAAACAAAGCAGAAAATAGCCACACCAAAATCTAATACCAGGTTCAAGGTAATAGGCCTTTGCTTTTTTGCCTGCCAAGCACTCATTCAGCCTTTCTTTGGTAATGCCACCACGTTTTTTTTCCTTGGGAAATGACATCTTGTGTAATGTAAGTCTAATTATTTTCATTGAGAAACAGTCAGAAAATGAAGCCAACACATAGAAAAGCAAAATTACAATAAAGTTTCCTGATATAAGCATTTTAGTACCTAGATTCAGTTCTAAGCTAGACTTTCCCTATGGACTTCATTGTATCAGCTGATTTATACAGGGTTTGTGTCACTTGAAAATGAAAGAGTCATTTCTAATAATCTATTATTTTGTGGACTGATGTGTCTTAATACCAATGAACTTCAAATTCCATCTGTTTCTTTGTTAACATCGCCATCATGTATTCTAATTTTTTTACTCACAATGTTTGTATACTTATTTCTGCTCACTCAAAACTTACACAGATATGCTCTATCATGGTCTCTCTAGCATCATTTCTTATCATGACCTTCCAGCTTTAACTCTCCCACTAATTACCTCAGTTTCTACTATTATATTTCTATATAATATAATATATATAGCATGAGAATGGTAATCAGGTGGCCACCACATATTTTGTTTCCTAGAAGGGTTATAGATTAGGTGTATAACCTATTGATTCTCTGTATTTGGGTAAAGTGACTAAACTTTGCTTTTCTACTAAGGGGATGGGCAGAATAGATTTACAATATGGTATAAAATTTAACTACCTAAAGGGATATTGGACAGAAAGTTCCCTATAAGGACAATGAGCACGGTAGGCAATACTATATTCAGGGTTAATATTGGTACATGGATTGAACATAGTAGATGCTCAATTAATGATTACTACTTATGGTTGTCTGTGCTTGTTATAAGAGGGGAATCTTTAGCTTTTACTAGAATGTATATAAATAATCAAGGTGATGGTACAGAGGTTTTCTTGTTGCTTTTTACTAGAGTTGATGCATTGTTCGAAGTGAATAACCAGTGATATAACCAAAATCACTATGTTTAACCCAGATTTTCCTTACTCTCAGCCCCAAATTCTCACTATTATCCTTCTACTAGTAGATATATGGCCAAGATTGTAGAAGAGTTAAAGGAAGCCATCAATTCACTAATGGGAAACCCTACATTTGCTGGACCACCCTTCCATGATAATAATGCTCATAAAGAATTTCCATATGTATCAGCTTATCTGATTTAATATTGCAAAGTTTTGAAATTTTTGTTTCATCCCTTATTTAATACCTGAGAGAATTTTATTTTGCAGAATTTCTATGATTTTTAAGTCCGTATCTTACAGTTTGGCTAATCTACTCTGCTTGTTTATTCTTCTTTTTGTAAATATAAACTAAGCAAAATCTCAATGCCTAGGTCAGGGATTCTAGGCATGATCCTTCTTTAGTTCATTACCCATAACACACATAACTGATGACTCACACTGATACAGCTTTTCCTGGATGCCATCATAAAATATACTGTATTTTACTTTAATATTCAGACTTCTGAATGCAGTAGGAGTTACAAAGTCACTAATTTTCACAGCCTGGAAAATATTTTTGTTAGTCATCAATTAATCACTATAAAGTATTAGTTGATCCTCTAGGATACATTTCTGTTCTGATTTGTAAAATTTTAAGAATATGTTATATAGCTGGAGGTAAAGGAGGGCTAAATTATAACTCAAATGCCAAGTAGACACTTTAGCCTTTGCTTGCAAAATGAACTTATGTCTCCTTATATTTATTACTGACAGCTATATTTTACGATGGAGTTGAATCACATAATAGACATCAGTCATTTGTTCCTTACTGATGGGAAGAGAGCCTTATGTCTAACACCCAAATTCTTTGCGTGGCATTTTGCAGAAGATGATAAAAGCAGTAATTGTCCTTTTCAAATAGTGAAACATCAAATTTCACTGTAATCTCTAGTATTCTTGAAAGTGCTTCTATGACAGAAGAATGAATAATAGAGGTATTTAGATTTTGAGGAAGATAAATACATGAGGATTAGTGGCTTAAAGATGTAAAATAATAAATACATTGCTAGATAGACTTGGCCCCTGAACCAGATGATACAGACACATTTGGTAAGTTATACAGAACCATATGGAGCAACCATTTTTCTTAAGCTATTTAGCCCTAAGTGGCTTCAAATAAGAGAGCAATTCCTAACATTTGTTAACACAAGAGGGTATGTAATCAGAGAGGTACAATGTAAAAGAAGTCACATTTGCTCCCAAGGGAACATGCAGGTTCTCAAGCGGCAGAAGAGAGAGGTTCCGTCCATGTAGAAATAAAGTTGACTTTTCAGTATATAGAATGAATGATACATAAATTCTACAGAGAGACATATAAGTATAAGAAAGAAAGAAAAAGAAAGAAGAAAAAAAGGAAGGAAAGAGAGAGAAAGAAAGAAAGGAAGAAAGAAAAAAGAAAGAGAAAGAAAAGGAAAGGAAGGGAAGGGAAGGGAAGGAAGGGCAGGGCAGGGCAGGGCAGGGCAGGGCAGGGCAGGGCCTACAGGAGTGTGCTTACTTTCCTAGCACATGTGAAGAGAAGAGAGCACCAGAGAAAGGCATAGTTTCTTTCATGTTTAAGACCTTTCAAAAGAAGAGTGACCCTACCTTCCAGCAAACGTGGCCTCATCAGATCTGAAATTGAGTAACACAAGCTCATATTCTGTCCTTTGGTGATGATATAGAGGAAGGTGGAGACAGTGATAGAGATTGCTTCCTTATCTTCAAATGGACAGTATAAAAAATAACACATTACTAATACAACTCTGGAACTTTTCAAGTAAAAGGTATATTGCCTTTTGGTATGAATTTCTAGCTTTGTAACTGTGGAAAGAAATCAAGAGGTGTTAAAAGTCACCCACTACCTCTATACTTTTAGGTTTGTGTGCATGCAAAGGGTGTGTGTATCTCAATAAAATTAGTGATCATATTTCTACATACTAGCAAAAATTAGACTCTCACAGAATTACCATACTCTGAAAAGATTATTTTTTAAAAGAATTAGGTATTACAGTTTTTCCATTTGTTTTTGTATGTAAGAAAGTCTTATACTGGCAAAAACATGAAAAGATTTATGAAGAATGCTATTAATTGAAGAATGACTTGTAATACTAAATGCCTGAAAATAATCCCAAATATCTATTCATAGGGACCTTGTTAAATAAAAAAATAGCTCATAGATGCAATAAAGAACCATGTAGCTGCAATGAAAGGAATAAAAGATAGCTCTATGTACTAATACGTAATGATTGGCAGGAAATGTTGTTAAATAAAGTAAGGAAGAGAAAGCTTCGTATGTTAGCCCATATTTTTATCCAAGAATGAAGAAAATTAACAGATATATGTATTTATTTATATACCTTAGTAGAAAGATAATAAAGCAAATAAAGTAATAAAATGAAGTAATAGAGTAATAAAGTAAATAAGGGAAAAAGATAATAAAAATAAATAAAGTCATAAAAATTGTTACCTAAAGGGGAAACAAAAAAAATTGAGAGCAGACAGGGATACAGATTATTTTTTAGTATGTCTAGTTTTTTATGTTTTACTTGAGACCCTGTGAAATTTTTTATTACTGTAAAATTAACTTACATTAAAACTGAAAGTTAGCTGAAACAAATGAAAGTGAATATGCAGTTGGTAGAATAAAACACAAATAAAAAAATTATCAGCCAATGAACAGTTTCTTACTATCCAAAATTGGAATGGTTTTTGAATCAATTAGGATAATAATTGAAATTAATTGAAATACATTTGATATTCTGTTTCATGTGTGAGTACAGAAGATGTGAAAGTAGCCATGAACTGATAATTTTAAAAGTTAGATAATGAGAACATTGTGTTTCAAAGTACCATTCTCTTTACATTTTTATATGTTTGAAATTTTCTATAAATAAAGCCCTAAAAAAGACAATTTACATACCCATAGAAAAACCAAGGCTAATTTACATCATGGCGTTGCATTACAGAACACTGTGTATATTAACCATAAGTGATTTATCTCACCTAAACAGAAGTGGAAGAGAGGATAAAATGATCTGCCAAGCAGATTTCTTCTCTATTTTGTTTCCACAAATCATAACAAGAGATAAACTATTACATTAGACTATTTACGATGCTAAAATTGTTCTATTTCCAAACTCAGAAATGCAAAGCATAACTTGAGCTGCAGCGCATATGCTTATGAAAGAATAGTCAAGAAGTAGCAAAGTGCTTTCTTGAGGCTGTGCAGTGAGTTGATTAAGAAGATGGACTGTAGAGTTACACTAGCCAATATGGTAGCCACTGGGCACAAAATACTGTTTAAATTAAAATTAATTAAAATTCAATACAATCAGAAGTTTTATCTCTTCATTCACACTAGCTATATTTCGAGCTACATTGTCACATGTGGGTAATGTTTACTTTATTGAACAGTGCTGATATAAATTTTCTATCATCACAGAAATTTCTACTGACCAGAACTTACCCAGAGGGAGTCTCCCTGTTTTAAAATCCCAGCTCTACTCATTATTGACTATATCAACTTTCTGATCTTTAGTATTATGTTTTTTGTTTGTTTGTTTTGTTTTGTTTTGTTTTGAGACAGAGTTTCGCTTTTTTTGCCCAGGCGGGAGTGCAGTGGCGCTATCTCGGCTCACCGCAACCTCCACCTCCCGGGTTCAAGCAATTCTCCTCCCTCAGCCTCCCAAGTAGCTGAGTTACAGGCACGCACCACCAGGCCCGGCTAATTTTGTATTTTTTAGTAGAGTTGGGGTTTCACTATGCTGGCCAGGCTGGTCTCGAACTCCCGACCTCAAGTGATCCACCCGCCTTGGCCTCTCAAAGTGCTAGGATTATAGGCATGAGCCACTGCACCCAGCCCGGTTTCCCAATTTTTACAAAATGTTATTAAAAATAGTATAACTAACCTCTAGGATGGGAGCATGGATTTTAAAAGGCATTTAGAATGATATCTGTACAATGTGAACACTTAAGAAATATTGTTTCTTTGATATAAACCATCACCTGAAATAGCTATTAAATGGATTAGACAGTCTTGTCTCTAATTGCATTGCGCATGAAACGTTTTGCAATGAAGCATTCTGAGCATTGCTTAACTGATTTTAAAATGTTGACAAACTCAGACAGAGCTCTAAATACAGATTTAAAAACTTGACAAAATCCACAAATTGCTTTTCACAGATTCTCATCATACATTGCTTTGCCTAGGTTTTATGATTGAAACTGTCTGTGTAGTATTTAGACAACAAATTCTTTCTGTTTAGAGAATCTGAGAGATATTTAATCAGTGTGGTAAGCAGAACAATGGGTGCCCAGAGATATTCATGCTGTAATCAATGGACTTTGTGATTATGTCATAAGGCAAATATATAATCAAGGTAAGGTAATATAATCAAGATAATAGAAAATTCCATATATATACTTATCAAATTCCATATATATATATTTGCCTTATGACATGTATACATATATATGTGTATATATACACACACACACACACACACACACACATATGCATGCAGAAGCAATTAAACTTACAGAGTTTAAAATAGGGGGATTGCCCTAGGTTATTTGGATGAGCTCATTGCAGTAATGTGTGCCCTTAAAGGTGGAAGACAGGAACAGATGAGTCAGTCAGTGAGATAAGATGAAGGTAGAGTCAGCAAGATTTGAACCGTGAAAGGAGTTAGATTAGCTGTTGCTGGCTTTGCAGACAGGGAAAGGAGACACCAATCAAGGCATGTATAAGGCCTCTTAAGGCTGGATGTGGCTCTCAGTTGAGAGCCGGCAAGAAAACAGGGATCTTAATTCTGCTGCCACAAGAAGTTGAATTTTGCCAACAACCCGAAAGAGTAGGGAATCAGATTCTCTTCTAGAGCCTCCAGAAAGAAACTCAACTTCGCTACCGTCTTGATATTACCCCAGTGAGGCTGGTATTATTTTGATCTACAGAACGTTAAAAGAAGAAAATGTGTATTCTTTTAAGCTGCTATATTTTTGATAATTTGTTGTGGCAGCAGTAGAAAGGTAGATAATAGAAAATGCATTTAAAATCTGACAAGGCAAAAGCCCTCAACTTTTTAATATGCTATTGCTATGTTATCATGACAGAAAAATATAGGTCTTATCAATTAAGATCCTAGTTAGAATTTAACTTGATAAAAATATTGAGCTGAATATAAGACCATATTCACATTCTGAGGGAAAGTTCATAATGTATTTTTGATGATGTATAAATTGATAAAAAAGAATGCTGATTAATGTTCCCTCTGATGACAAAAGCAGTGTCATTCTTGACAAGATCAAATAATAATAAACAAGGTCAAATAATGTTTTAATGTACATCACAATTTGATCCCAATTCTAGATTATGAACTAAATATACAAGAGGTAACTGACCCTTACTTCGTGATAACTAACTTCTGAGTTGGAGAGAAATGTCCTCTAATCTGATCAGTTGATTTCTTTCCATTATCATTTAAAGAACCCATGACATTTTGGTATGCCTACAAAATTATTTTAATTGAGTCTAAAAAAATAAACCTTTAATGTTTTATTCTTTACAAATAGAGTTATTTTACATATGTAAAAACAAAATTGCTAATATTAAAAATTTTTGCATGACTAGTAGGTGCAAGGTGTAAACATTTTAATTTGAATGAACCATATAATCCTCGCTACAACTACATGAAGTGGACACTCTTGCCCATTTCAAAAATTACAGATTGACTATTACATCAGAAGTGTTTCATTGGTTGTTTCGCTCATATTATCAGAATTACATCATGATAATTTTCTTAGAAAAATACCCATGAATTTCATGAGTAAAACAGAAGACAAAAACATAGAAAAACACAGGAAAAATGAGAATTTCCCTGGAAAAACTAAGATTTCTAGTGTTTGGAATTGGGAGCGTTGGTAGAGTGAGGGTGGAAGTGTGAATATTCATGGGCATAAGTTTCTCTCCCATATTGTGACACCAGAGAAACAAAATTTTCTATCACTATTTCATAGGAGATGTCCTAAATTAATTCCCTGAAACAGAAGAAATCCTCAAATATAAGTCAGTAAAGCCAGCTTTATAAAATTTGACATGTCATTTTACTCGTCAACATCATAAGAATTTCCTGTCTAATTGAGATGTTACCATCCTGACTCCCAACTCCATTTACATGAATCTTAATTTCTTAAGGTCTTTCATGGTATGCCGAGAATAAATTCAACATAGGACAAAATGATTAACATTTTATATCTGTATCTCCAATACGACTGTCCTAGCATTCCATGAAACTGAGATCAGGTTTTCATTTGCACTTTCAGCAAATGTTATGTTTACATATTTATTGCTGTAGGTATGCTTCTAAAGGATATGTGGCTTGTAGGATTTGCTCAAATTGAAATTGAAAGTAAATTGTCCAATTGCAATGTTTGTAAGAATCTTCTTGCTATTCTGCTTGTCATTTCTTGCTATTTGCTTTAGTGATTTCACAACCCTTGAAAAATATTTCATTTTAATATGATTAATTGACTTTTTTTTATCGACTAAGGATTTTTGAGAGGCAAAATCAGAGGCCATGGTGTAAAGACAGATGCAAAATAATTTTATAGGAGTGAATTAGAAGCAGATGGCATTAAGTAGGTCTAATTGTTCATGAGGGTATATGGAGAATGGGAAAAGAGGATATTAAGTTATGACATGAAATGATGGCTGTGTGCCTATACCTATCGAGCATTGTTGCAGCAATAGGAGGGTTTTGATTCACCTTTATGGAGATCATGTTTTTGTAGTATTTCAGAGGGTTTTTTTTTTTTTTTTTTTGAGGAAGGTAGCTACCATTCAGTCCAGGGAGTTGTAATTTCTTTGAATTCACATAGCTTTTAAGTAATAGAGTTGGGATTCAAACCCATGTTTTTCTGATCTCAAACTTTTATCTCCTGCACCACACTATCAAGAGAATGATAGGGCCAGATAAGAGCATTCAGCTAAAATCTCATGTGCTATATTACAGAGTCATCCTGGGAAGATGTAAAACCACATGACTCTGACTATTGTAGTGGGTAATAGTGGAAACTTACTCTTCTTATTTTTTCTTCTGATCTAGAGCCTTGTACTTGCACTAATTTTTAATCATTGAAACTCTATTGAAAGGTATCCGTATCAGACAGTGATCTGGGCTTCTGAAGATCATTTTTTATACCCAAATGATATTTTCTCATAAGGTAGATAGGATAGATATCAATAAAGTATGTGGTTTCATTTGAATGGGATCCAGTGTTCCTAATGTGAAACAAATGAGGATTGTTCTTGTATAGGAAGCCACAGCCCAAATTCAAGAGACAGAGACTGTACACCAACAATGTGAAGATGCTCAGGATTAATGTTATGACCAGTGTTTGCACAAGGAGCCAAGTAAGCGAAAAGAAGCAGCAGATCTGGAACCTGTGAGAAAGGCCCCACCCTATCTTTGAAATTTAGGGTGACATATCAGGGTGCTGTGAATTTCAACTGAGCGGCTTGTTAACTGTGGGGCCCCATGTCTCAGAAACTCATTTCCTTCACCCAGGGACAATAATTGGTCTTGCTTCATTGGGTTGTTGTAGGGAATAAATGTGTGACTATAAAACATTACCTAGTTTCTACTACACATTAATAGTATATGCTAAATGTTGGCATCCTCTGCTAGCCACTTTCTGTTCCACAAGTGAAAATGGGGGAAGAAACAAGTAGTATTGCATAAATATAAATGTTGGCTTTTAGACTCAGAGTTCAGTAACCCCGTATCTTTGGTTTCATTGTGTTGCTCTACCAAATGTAATCACTACAATATATCAGTATGTTGACCTTCAATGAAAGCCATTATTATAAGCCTTTCTGGTTCATTTCCTGCTGACATCTATAGCACAAGTGACAGTATCATAGGGGATGGAGACAATTTAAAGCAGAGATGTGAATGCAGTGGGAAAGTGCCTGCAATCCAGACTTTTGGAGGGAAATACATGCAGCTTTGGGGTTTCATCTTACAATAACCACATTCATTTGGTAACATCCTTATCAAAATCAGGGGCATTTTGTGTCTTCATTAATCTATAAAGTCTTAGCACAACTATTAGGCTTTGGAAGTAACAACGACAGCATGTGGACCTCATCACATCCTTACTAGACCCCAAGCGGTAACCACTGCTCTAAAGTTAGTAACAGCTGATTCATAATCAAATAAGCTGAGGTTGAAAGTGAGAGGAAGCACTATTTTTGCTCTGGCAACCTGGAGTAAAGAATGTGGCCCTCTATGTTTGATGATTGTTCCACTGACTGAGTGTGGCAATAAGTAATGACTCAGAGCTGCCTCCTTCCTTGCCCTCAGAGCTGAAAGCATCCCTATTAAATTGAAGACCAGTGCTTTGCTTTCATTACAGTGGGGACTGCTCTTGCCAAAAGGGAATTTTCCTTAATTAATGAGAAAGGACTCTTTTCAAGCGCTACACAATGAGGTCATTGCAATGCAACTTTCTCAGCAAAGAGCAGTCTGTCTCTGAATACTGGACTTTGTAGCTGAGGTGGAGAGGCACTTTAGTGTAATTGTTAAGATGATAGGCTTTGGAGTCAGAACAACTGGCTAGCAAATATTGGCTGTCAGCGAATTTTTCAGTAATCTTGAGCATGTTATTTCACTTCTCTAAGCCTTGGTTTCCTTCTCAGCAACTGCAGATATATCATTTCTTATCTCATAGAATTGTTATTGAGATTAAACAAGATAAGAAGAGTAAAGCACTTATCACAGTGTTTGGGACATACTGGGTAATTATTAAGTGGTATCTATTTTATCTCAACATTGTTGTTAGTCTCTTTTTTTGGACTCATTAATGGAAGGTATATATTTTCATAAAATATGTGCCCAGGAGAAAAAGGATCAAAGGCACTCTTTATTATTCGTCATGAGTTAATGTCAAACCCTTATTACTTCCTGCATAGATTTCTAAATTATAGCTTCATAAAAACTACAGCCTAAGTAGTTATGACAAATTAGTTTTTTCTCATGGAATGTTGAGAAGGAATCTGAGACAAGACCTATGCTCACTGAAACCGAGGGCTATGATTCATAATGATATCAGCTGTGGGGGAAAAAAATGGGACCTGAGGGAACGCACGCCACCCACCCTCTATCTATGGCTAAGATAAGCAAACAGCCATCATCTTATTGGAATGAAGCAAACTGAAACCTGGATCTATTTAGTGTTAATGTTATGTAGCAGTTCTCTCTGATAATTGCCAAGTCACCAGTATTGGGTCTTGCCCTTTTAGTTTTGAGGAAATTATTTCAGATGATTGCTGTGTGTGGTATAAGCTAAGTCTGTGATTTTCAGTTTCAGAAATATATTTTAAAATTATTCAACCAATATTTCTTAACTGCTTTTTTAACACACCTTGAGTAATTACCTTTTTAAAATGCTGAGAAAATGGTGATAAATTTATACTTGTTGTGCAGCATCTCAATATTGTAAACCAAAAATAAAATTCTAAGACTCCCAACCAATTGAATGGATCCCGCCTCTCAGCCAAGGACATTCCAAAGTAAACCTGAAAAACTAGTTCAGGCCGTGATGGAAATGAGGGATTAGACATGCCTCATTATACCTTCTCCCCATGGAAGTTCAGGCACAACTAATCAGCATTCACATTAAAACAGAGGTCTCAGGACTGACCAAACGGACTCTTTGTGACAATACGGTATATCACAAAATGACAGATAGCAGGCCCTGGAAGAAATCAAAGTATTTTATCCTAAAATGTATTTCTTTGATGTATTTTAAAATAGCCCTGCAAAGCTGTCTCCTGTGGGAGAAATCTGTATTCTATAGGGAATCCCCTTCCCTTTCCAAATATTTTCCTGATCCAGGAGAGATTAACTAAGATTCTGGTACCTTTATAAGCCTGATAAGAAATATTTACCATCTAATCTCTTTGAAGCCTACTACTTGGAGGATTCATTTCTGCATAACAAGAACACTGGTCTCCACAGCCCCTTATCTTAATCCAGAAATTCCTTTCTATTGATTCCAGGCCTTCAGATAGTAACTTAACACTTTCAAGCAATTGCCAATCAGAAAATCTTTAAACCCACCTATGACATGGAAGCCCCACCTATGACCACGTTGAGTTATCCTTCCTTTCTGGACCAAACCAATGTACACCTTACATATATCAATTGATGTCTTTGGAACTTCTGTCTCCCAAAAATGTATAAAACAAAGCTGTAATCCAACCACTTTGGGCACATGTTCTCACAACCTCCTGAAGCTGTGTCACTGACATGTCCTTAATCTTGGCAAAATAAACTTCCAAATTGATTGAAACTTGTCTCACTTACTTTTTGTTTTACAATATCAAAATTGCTTGTATAACCAAACCTAGGTTCAGCTGCTCAACACTCAAAAGCCAGACGCAAGAGATGAGAGTTGATGGGAGGAAAAGCAGGTTTATTCAGAGAGCCAGCAAGCCGAGAAGATGGTGGACTACAGTCACAAAGACCATCTTAAATTTTAAATTTTACCATAAGGAGTTGGTATGGGAGATACGTGGGCATGGTGCAGGGGGCAGGGTCTGTGTGTCTTTGTTCTGATGGATATCTTGGGTAATTGTTTGGAGGTCTGGTTGGTGTTATTTTGACCTCAGCCTGTTGGTGGTGGACGAATTGTTCTTAACTTCCCTTAAGCGGGAGAATTCTGCAACTGGGGCTCTCTGCCTGGTTTGTTTCAAGTTAGCTGATGGAATTTCTTAAGCAAGAGCATAATTACATAACCATGCATTGCTGGAGGGGAGTGTCTAGAGAGGGAAGGAATGAAGGGATGAGAGGGGAGGGAAACAAAGTGGGTGATTAATATATATTTTTTAAATGGGGGTCCCGAGTTGCACTTGGATGGGAAAGATTCACAAAGTTTGGAAACTGAGCTTCTTCACAATTGTTTTGGAAATTATTTGTTTTCTCACATTAGAATGCTAGTGTTTCATTAGTGTTACGTAGATTCAACAGATAAAACATAGAACTGATATGTGCTTATCTGCTTTTCCTAGTGAGAGATTGATTAATTGTTGTGAGAGAGATCAATTTCACATTTACAATAGAAATCTGTATTAGTAGTTGTTTAAGATACATAGATAACCTGTAATTTCATGCTACATATATTCCTTGTTGCTGCTGGGGCTCAGAAAATGATACACCAAAGTATGGTGCTTTGGCAAGCTGAGTACTTTGATCTAAAGGATATTGGAAGGCATCAGAATAAATTGAATGGTTTTTAACATAAAGAAAAGGCAATATTTAAGGTGATTGTTATCCCCAGTACACTGATTACATGAATGCATTAAATTATCATATGTACCCTAGAACTATAAACATCTATTATGCATCAAGAAAAAAATTTAAAAAGAAGGAGCCTTAAAAGTAAAGTTTCTTTCTGACCTTCTCCTGCTCTCCTGTTTCCTGCCCCTCTTCTTCCCCTGAAGAAAGTCACAAAAATCAGAATTCTTTTTCACCAAGGTGAATCCTAGCAACTAGATCCCCTTTCCCTCAAACAAGCCATAAAACCTAGAAAGATCATTCTCTTTCTTCTCCCTTCTTTCTAAAAGATTCTAAATTCCATAAAGGTCCTGCTCCATACCTAGAAGAGAAAGAATTGGAAAGACTGCGGCGTAGGGAGACCAAGAAGAATCTAAGAAGACAAGTATTGCTGAGGTTCTCCTCTCTATTACCATTAGAACATACCCTATGTCTAATCACATTTCTACATGGCCATCAATTTTTCATCAAATCCATGCATAAAAATAGATTCCCTGGGTCTTCATTTCTGAAGGCTTATGTAAAACTTGATTAAATAACTGGGTGTTATGCTTTTCTCCTGTTAACCTGTCTTTTGCGATAGGAGAGTTGGCCATGACCCTTATGATGGGAGAGAAAAGGTATCACACCTTTCTGTCCCTACAAAGTAAATATATGCAACATAGAAAAATAAGAAAACAGAAGTGAGGGCCTGTCTCCGTGCTTAGTATTTTTCCCTCAACAGTAAATATATTTTAACTTTTTTGGTGATTATTTTAGGAAAAAAAATGCAGAGGGACACATATTTGTTTCTTAGCTAACAAATATTAAGATAATACTCTTCTGCACCTATTGGACAATCTTTTATTACAGAAATAAAAGGATTTTCCTCAAAAAATTTGAAGAAAATGCAGAAATTAGTTGGAACAAGAGACTCCCTTTATCTTTCATGGGAACATTTGATTTTTTTCTTTTCTCTGTCTCTGTCTGCTCTTTCTTGCTCTTTTTTGTTGACCCACTTTCTCTTCTTAAGCATATAGTAAGGTAAAAAATAGTTCCACCAATTACAGCTACTAAGATCAATACTCAAATGATTCCCACCATTTGAAGTTCAATCAGCTGCCACTCTCAGGACTGGAGGGCTTGGGAGAGAGGGATCACCAGATTGTTAGGAAACAGAAGGTTTAAAAAAAATGGGTGGTTGGGCATGGTGGCTCACACCTGTAATCCCAGCACTTTGGGAGGCCAAGGAGGGCAGATCACCTGAGGTCAGGAGTTCGAGACCAGCCTGGCCAACATGATGAAACCCCATCTCTACTAAAAAATACAAAAATTAGCCAGACGAGGTTGTGGGTACCTGTAATCCCAGCTACTCGGGTGGCTGAGGCAGGAGAATCACATGAACCCTGGAGGCGAAGGTTGCAGCGAGCCGGGATCATGCCATTGCACTCCAGCCTGGACACCATTGCACTCCATCCTGGACACCATTGCACTGAAGCCTGGGCAACACAAGTGAAACTCCATCGGAAAAAAAAAAAAAAGGGCATGGGCACACCCCTTCACTGACAAATCCGCTTCTCTGTGCATAGTAACTTTTTTTTTTGCTCTTTAATATCTGTTTATAAACAAGGTCATTTCTTCCATGTGCCATTACTTCAAAATGGGCTTTCTGTAGTTCAGATGCCTCCACTTTTTTGATTGCTTATTTTAACCTTGCATTTGTAAAACTATAGTTTTTCTAAATATTCATCCCCAGGATTCATTCTGTCCTGGAATCTCAAGTTTTAGAAACCCTTTACTTCCTCCTTGTTTACATACCACATCCCTAATACACACACACACACACACACACACACACACACACACACACACACACACGGATATTACCACCTTGCTTCACAGAACAAAAGAATGATTAATAAATGGGTGGAAAATTAAAGTATAGTTTAAAAAATTATGTGCCATTGACAAAGGGGAGTGTGTGTGTGTGTGTGTGTGTGTGTGTGTGTATGTGTTTGTGGTGTGTGACCTAGTTTATTTTTTAAAATATTTTTGTACAGTTTGTTCAATATCTAGGCTCTGGGATACCCCTCCTTCAGATCTTAGTTTTTTCTGAGTAAGGTTGAAGAGAATAATGACCCTGGATTCAGAAAATTATGTTATTTATATTGGAAAATTATAATAGCAAAAAAGTCTATTTAAAAAAAGTGATTGATGATGGTGCAAAGATCTACTTGTAGCAGAAGTCCTTGAAGAATGAACCTGACCCCTGGATTCTGAGTCCCTTGAACAATGACAGTCATGACATACAGTTTGTGACTTGATCGGTTGTATCTCTAGGAAACACAGTATTAAAGAAAGGATATGAGCCATGACATAGCAATAAGTCACTAAAGCCTGAGGCTGAAGCTTCAATATGTAAATCTGTAAACTCTTTAATGTGTCGAGATAATAAAACCAGAATTATACACAAGGCAATCATTTGGAGTGGCTATTTTCAGACAGCTGAAGAACACTGAAGTTTATTTGAATTTGAAGCATATGCCTTGCCCTGAGACTGGTGAATTGGAATTGTTAGTAATTCCCTGTGTATCAGGCTGTTCAAATGGTTTTTCTAAAGGTCTCAGACATGGGAGGCTTTCCATGTATTTCTGTTAATTAGGCAACTTTCAAAATTCTTACGTGAAGATTATATGAGGTACTTGACTCATTCAAACCATCCTGCCGTAAACTCCAGCCTTCATGAGACAGAAGAGAATGGAACAAATACCGATGATCTCTCTGCCATCTTCAAAGTGTTGCTCTCCGAAATTCTCATGCAGATTTGGAAGAAACCTAGGACATGATAAAACCAATTTGTTTCCAACTGAAAATGGATCACTGACCAGCCCTACAAAAGGAATGCAAATTAGAGAAGTCAATTAAAATCAGGCTTATATATTTCTAAAATTTTATGTATAGAAATTTCTAAATTTTATTTGGGGCACTATTATGTTGTTAGCTGACAATAACTTGTGGATTCTCTGATTCTTTTTCTATTCATTTTTAATATTAAAAATAAACTTCTACTAAGCACTTGGGATAAAAGAACTATAAAGATATTGCTCCTAACTTTAAGAGTAAACATTTTCCTATGACAGACTTACACATACATGTATGTTCAAGTAAGAAAGTGCTGCATCAGTAGTATTCACAAGGTTGTATTCAGGGTGATATTAAAATATGTTAATACAGAGTCTACCATATACACAGACCAACAAGAGTAAAGATGCTGGTCCTAGAGCTGGAAAAGGACCTGGGTACCCCAAAATGTGGCACGCATTGATCCCATAGTTGCTAGATTCCTAGAAAGGGGCAGAAAGTCTCATGCAGGGCCAGAAAAATGAGAGTGACAGGGCACTCAGGGAGTTAAAGGTAATGACACTTTACTAGGCAGTATCGAAGTAATTCAGTACCTTAATAAAGAGTAAAACCAAGCCAGTGTGTCTGGGTTGTGTGTGTTGAAGAAGTTGGTGACATCTGAATTGGCGTTCTCTAGGGGTTTTTGTGTGTGTGTGTGTGTGTGTGTGTTTGTGTGTGTGTGTCCATGCTTACAGCTATATGTTTAGGTGGGAAATGGTCTGACATGCAGAATGAATAGCAAAATAAATTCATGACAGCCTTCAGTAGGGCTCTGTCACATAGAGTGGGCAAAATAATATCCAGATAGGAGGTCAAAGGGGTAGCATGCTGTCTGGGTAGCAGAGGCCAAGTATGAGAAAGATTTTGGAATTAATTCCTAAAAACAAGAGATTAATTCATGGTTTCATTTATGTTTTTTTAAAAAAAACTCTGATAGAAATATAAAAGGTAAATTGATTTCAAATAGCTTTTTTAAAGTCCAAAGTTATCTATCTATCATCTATCTATCTATCTATCTATCTATCTATCTATCTATCTATCTATCTATCATCTATCTATATCTATCTATCTTAGGTAACAGAGTCAGAAAAAAAGTATGACAGCAATAAAGCTAGTAATTTTTTTCTTTAATAACAGAGAAAGAGGCTTGTTTATAACTTTAACCATT
This sequence comes from Homo sapiens, assembly GCF_000001405.40. NCBI lineage: Eukaryota > Metazoa > Chordata > Mammalia > Primates > Hominidae > Homo > Homo sapiens. Next base: position 37,511,373 of record NC_000011.10, read on the forward strand.
ACCTTGTCAATTGTTCCCATACCTCTTATTCAAGAAAATCACAAACTTGAATGAATACATTCTTCTTTTCCATTCCTTTCCCATTCCTACACTATGCCTCATAAACACTGTTGAATAAAATTACTACACATTTTAGTGCTGGTACATATTTATGGTCTGTATATTAGTCAGCTATTGCTGCAATAATCTTGCCTAACAAACCACCTTAAAATACAATTGCTTGGTAATTATTCATTTTTTAATGTTTGTGGCTTTGCAAGCTGACTGCAGTTTGTCTGGTCTAGGTGAGGACTTGGCTGGCAGTAGGATGGCTGGCTCTGCTCTGACATCAGGATAGCTAAGTCTGGCTTCAGGCTCTGAGTTGGTTCAGGACTGCTTTGCAAGGCTCACCCTCTTTGGACCTGTGGTTACCTTAGTTTTGTTCTTCTTACAGTGAAGCTCAATAGCCAAGCCAATGTGCAGCCAGACCTCTGCTTGCTTCGCATTTCCTAATATTTCATCAGCCAAACCAAAAACACATCACCCAGCCAGGCCCAGTGTTGAGGGGCCAGATAGTATCCACCACCCATTGTTGGAGAGTACTGCTATGCTACCTGCCAAAGGGTGTGAGAGTATAACCTTGTTAAAGCAGAGTGAAGAACTGGAAAATAAAGTGTAATCTATCACAATGACCATTCTTAACTGGAATGTCAACACTGTCAGAAATTATTATTTTTTCCTATCTATTTCTTTCTCATTCTCCACAGCTACTATTTCAAGCATCTGTACTCTTCTAACACCTCCTACCACAAACTATTTTCTGTATGTCTGCAGTTGACCTTCCTTTTATTTCCCTGAAAAAAAAAAGGTTAATTCAATCTCCTACCTCTAATCCTAAACTTTATCTAAATCCCCACCATCTAATCTAAATCTTTTTTACTTTCTCATCTGACATAACAAGTAAGACATTGGCCCTCTGCCAGGACTTTGGAGTCCTGTCACTTGTTGCATCCTCTGAAATATTACTCCATCAGTTATCCACTCTTTCTATTGGATTTCTGACTCCTCCTTTTTACCAGTTCTTTCTAACTTGTGCTACATGCTAATAATACTCTGCTTATTTTATACTCAAAGTGCTCTTATGTGGTATGTACTATCACTATGAAGCAGGTACACCATTAAACATGTTTTAAAGACAAGGTGATTGAGTCATAGAAATGTTGAGTAATTGGTTAATTAATGATAAAATTTAGCAATACTAACATTAATCTGTAAGAGCAATGCACTCCCACCAAACTCTCACTGGTGAATTTGTTTTCTGTAAATTCCTTCACAAGCATTAAAAGACAGAAAGATGACAACAGGCATTTGTTCTGAAATAAATCTTCAAAACTATTCAGTGTAATACGTAAGAAAAAATAAGGGCTCTTCTTAGTGGATAAAAAAGAAGGGAATTATATTTGATCATTGAAAGTTGGGGAAAATAAATACATTGTCTAATTAATTCAACAGAATGTAGATTAAAAACTGAACAAAAGATGTATGTGAGATTTAGTATATGATCAATGTGGCATTAAAATGGTAATAGAATACATTCATATTTAGTATATGTTATTGGAATCAGGCTAATATATGAAAAGAGTATATATAAAATATATACACGTAAAGATCTATATACACATAGAAAATGTTTAATATGTAACTCAAAATATACAGTAAATGAATTCAGACTAATTAAAATGTATACAGAATTTAAAATTTTAAGTCCAATTTGTGACAATCTCTTTAAACTTGGTATATACTTTCTAAACCTGACATTAGAATCAGAAACAATTAAAAACTATAACTTTAACCACAAAAGATAACAGTTTATATATGATGAACATCTTTCCATTTGAAATCCATATAACTATTGCATGAAAATTAGAAATATCTTTTCCAGTGCAAAATAGAACCACAATTTGATATATCTCACCCTGGTTAAAATGGCTTGTATCAAAATACAGACAATAACAGGTGCTGGCCAGGATGTGGAGAAATGGGAACTCTAATACACTGTTGATGGGAATGTAAATTAGTACAGCCACTAAAAAGAAAAGTATGGATGGGGATTCCTCAAAAAACTGAAGATAGAACTTCCATATGATTCAGCAAGGCCACTACTGGATATATACCCAAAAGAAAGGAAATCAATATATCAAAGAGATGTCTGCACTCCCATGTTTATTGCAGCACTATTCACAATGGTCAAAATATAAAATCTCCCATCAAGGGATTAATAGATAAAGAAAATGTGGTGCATATACAGGATGGAACGTTATTCTTCCATAAAACATATTTTCTTCATTTGTAGCTTAAAGGATGAAGCTGTAGGCCATTATGTTAAATGACTATGAGAAAGACACATATTTATATATTCTCCCTTATATGGGAGTTTAAAAAGAATGGATCTCATGAAGATAAAGAGTAGAATGGTGGTAACCAGAGGTGGGGTAGGAAAAGAGAGAGGGAGGATTGAGGAAGAGAAATAAGGATATAAATGTATTTGTTACCAATGAACTGTATATACTTTACCACAGTAAAAACATTTTTAAAAAAGAAATGTTTTTTCTAAAGTATAGTTGAGGTTTGGAGAGAGGAATACACATTTTAGCAGCCAAAACCAAGGAAGGCATTGAAACGAAGAGAAAGTTCAGTAGAAGCTGGGGCTTTGCTTATCTCTGAGACATAAGGCTTATGTTTTAAAGGAAACATCCTTTAACAAACTAAGTTAGTTAACAAAATAACAAAATTTTGGGAAATAAAGGGAAAATAACTTGAAATGAGATACCTCTTAAAGTTAGAACCCTAGAGAGCTAAAAACAAAAAAAATGTTAGTAAAAGGATGTTCTAGGGTAGCGAACACAGACAACATAAAAATGTGTATGTGTCAAGATGAGTTCAGAAGTAGAAGTCTCTTGTGATCACTGTAGTCACCCACTTACATTTACACAGTATGTGCAAAAGTTATCTATATAGCAGTCTGAGAAACTGTAAGTTGAGGAAATAACGAAGTTCCAGGCTGATATCCTTATGGGAAAAGCAAGAGGAAATTCTTTCTATGCATGTATAAACAACACACTTTTCACACAGTTTTCTTTATTAAGAAGAAAAACATTCAGTTAAACATAAGGTCCCAGTACAAAGTTACACCCTAAGTGAAAACAGCAAACAGCAGAGCTACAGCTCCAGAGTTAAAAAATGGAATTATTAATATATACTTATATTTTTAAAATAAATTTTATTTTGGACAGGTTTATGTTTACAGAAAATGTATAAAGATAGTAGAGCTTCAATATATTCCACATCTACCCAGTTTTCCTACTATCAACATCTTAAATTAGTATGGTGTATTTGTTACAATGAACAAACATATGTTGATACATTTTTGTTAACTAATGTTCTTAGGTTTGAAAACTAAAATTTTCTTAATTTTTAACTGTCATTTTCCTATTCCAGGATCTCATCCAAAGTAACACATTATATTTCATAGTCATGTCTCCTTAGGCTCCCCTTGGCTGTGATAGTTTCTCACACTTTTCTTGTTTTTCATATTCTTGATATTTTGAGCAGTCCTGGTGACGTATGTTGTAGAATGTCCCATAATTTGGATTTATCTGCTATTTTTCTCATGATTAGGTTGGATTTATGGGCTTTTGGCAGAACAAGGACAGTGGTGAAATGCCATTTTTCATCACTTCAATTTAAGGGTAGGTACTATCAACATGATATAACTCTTGCTGTTAACTTTGATCACCTGGCTGAGTGTATTAGTCTTTTCTCATGCTGCTAATAAAGACATACCCGAGACTGGTTAATTTTTAAAGGAAAGGGTTAATTTATAAAGGAAAGAGGATTAATTGACTCGCAGATCCAGATGGCTGGGGAAGCCTCTCACAATCATGGCAGAAGGTGAATGAGGAGCAAAGTCACGTCTTATATGGCAGCAGTCACGAGAGCTTGTGCAGGGGAATTCTCATTTATAAAACCATTACATCTCATGATACTTATTCACTACCAGGAGAACGGTATGGGAGAAACCACCCCTATGACTCAATTATCTCCACCTGGTCCTTCCCTAGACATGTGGGGATTATTACAATTCAAGGTGAGATTTGGGTGGGGACACAGCCAAACCATATCACTGAGGTAGCATTTTTTAAGTTTCTCCACTGTAGCTACCCTTTTTCCCACCTTTCTATACTGTGCTTTTAAGATGGAAGTCACTAAGAACAGCCCATGCTTAAATAATGAGTTGTGTTCCACCGCTTCAAGGGAAAAGCAATTTTTATTTCTTCTACATAAGAGATTTGTCTCTTGTTTATCTGTCTTTGCTTGATTTAATTATTTAATAATATCACTAGAGAGACATGAAAAAATACACACACACACACACACATACACTCTCTCTCTCACACACACACACACACACACACAGGCTTTAATACCATACTATCTTATTATATTGGTACTCAACTTATTCCAGCTTTGGCCAAGGTGAACTCTTTCAGATGGCTTCTTTTTTGGGATGTAAGTATTTCTTTTTTTGGGAGGGGGGAGAATTTCTTAATTTCTTGAGCTATAAAATGCTTGAGGCTTTCATTAATGTATTTATTATCTGGTAATGAAAATCAGACGTTTCTCCAAGGGCCCCTGGTTCTTTCGATTGGAGAGTGGTATTAGAAACCAAAATTTTGTGGAAAATGTGCTTATTGCTATTGGGATGCCATGATATCTGGGTCCTCTCACCTAACAGAGCAAATAAAACTATGTATGTATACTATCTCATATAATATATCTAGGAATACATTTATATGTAACTATCTGTATCTATATTAAGCTATTAATGAATTTATTTTGATGTCTACAACTCAAATATATTACCACTTGAATAATTTTAACCTTTCTTTTCTAATGTGAAAGTCTTCAAATTTCTACTCAAACTGTGAGAAACCTGGCTCCTAGTACCCACTACATATTGATGTAATTAATCTATTCTAGCACTCATGCATAGCATTATCAAAAGCAGAAGAAATATTTAGTGAGATTAAAGACAAGACATTTGAAAATACACACTCAGAGGAGACAAAAGAAAAAATAATAAAAAAGAAGCAAGCGTGCTTACAAGAGCTAGAAAATAGCCCCAATAGGACAAATCTAAGAGTAATTGGCCTTAAAGTAGAGGTAGAAAAAAGATAGGTTTAGAAAGTTCATTCAAAGAGATAATAACAGAGGATTTCCAAAACCTAGGGAAACACCTTAATATTCAAATATAAGAAGGTTATAAAATATCAATCAGATTTAACCTAAAGAAGACTACCTCAAGGCATTTAGTACCCAAATTCTCAAAGGTCAAGGATAAAGAAAGAATCCTAAAACCAGCAAGAGAAAAGAAACAAATAATATACAGTGGCACTCCAATACATCTGGCAGCAGACTTTTAGTGGACACCTTACAGTCCAGGAGAGAGTGGCATAACATATTTAAAGCACAGAAGAAAAAGCAAGTTTACCCTATAATAGTGTATCTGATGAAAATAGCATTCAAATATAATGGAGAAATAAGGACTTCTCCAGACAAACAAAAGCTCAGAGATTTTATCAACACCAGACCTGTCCTACAAGAAATACTGAAGGGACTTCTTCAATCAGAAAAAAAAAAGAAAATTAATGAGCAAAAAGAAATCACCTGAAAGTACAAAACTACTGGTAGTAGTAAGTACATGTAAAAACATAAACTATTATAACACTGCAATTGTAGTGTGTAAATTACTCTTACCTTAAGCAGAAAGACTAAATTGTGAACAAATCAAAATAACAACTACACACTTTGGGAGGCCGAGGCGGGTGGATCACGAGGTCAGGAGATCAAGACCATCGTGGCTAACATGGTGAAACCCTGTCTCTACTAAAAAAACACAAAAACAATAGCTGGGCATGGTGGTGGGCACCTGTAGTCCCAGCTGCTTGGGAGGCTGAGGCAGGAGAATGGCATGAACCCAGGAGGCGAGCCTCCTGCTCTACAGTGAGCTGAGATCGCGCCACTGCACTCCAGCCTGGGTGACAGAGCAAGACTCCGTCTCAAAAAATAAATAAATAAATAAATAAAAAGAACAACTAGAGCAATAATTCAAGACATAGACAGTATAGTACAATAAGATATAAAGATATAAAGAGAAACAACAAAAAGTTAAAAAGCAGGGGGACAAAATTTAAGTGTTTAGTTTTTATTAGTTTTATTTTGCTTGTTTATTTAAGCAATCAATGTTAAGTTGTCATCTGTTTAATATAATGTGTTATAAATTAGTATTGACGAACCTCATAGTAATCTCAAATCAAAAACACACAACAGAGACACAAAAAATAAAAAGCAAGAAATTAAATTATATCACCAGAGAAAATCACCTTCACTAAAAGAAAAATAGGAATGAAGGAAAGAAGAAAAGAAGACCACAAAATAATTAGAAAATAAATTATGAAATGGCAGGAGTAAGTTCTTACTTATCAATAATAACATTGAATGTAAATCCACTAAATTCTCCAATCAAAAGACATAGAGTGGCCAAATGGATGAAAAAACAAAACCCACTAATTTGTTGCCTACATGAAATGCACTTCACCTATGAAGACACACAGAGTGAAAATAAAGGAATGGGAAAAGATATTCCCTGGCAATGGAAACCAAAAAGAAGCAAGAGTAGCTATACTTGTACCAGACAAAATAGATTTCAAGACAAAAATTATTAAGAAGAAACAAAGAAAGTCACTATTTAATGATAAAACAATATTCAGCAGTAGGATATAACAATTGTAAATATATATGCACCCCACACTAGTACCCAGATATATAAAGCAAACATTATTAGAGCTAAAGAGAAATATAGACTCCAATACAATAATAGCCGAAGACTTCAACACGTCACTCTAAGCATTGGACAGACCTCTTAAACAGAAAGTCAACAGAAAAACATCAGATTCAGCCTGTGCTACAGAAGAATTAGAGTTAATAGACATTTACAGAACATTTCATTCCACAGCTGCAAAATATATATTCTTCTCTTTAGCACCTGTATCATTCTCAAGGGTAGACCATGTGTTAGATCACAAAAAAGTCTTAAGATATTCAAAAATTAAAATAATACCAAGCATCTTCTTTGAGCACAATCAAATAAAACTAAACATCAACACAAGAGGAATTTTGGAAAATATACAAACATATGAAAATTCAATAATATGCTCCTTAATGTCCAATGGGTCAATGAAGAAATTAAGAAGGAAATTTAAATGAAAAAATTTTGTGAAACAAATGATAATGGAGACACAACATACCAAAACCAATAGGATACAGTGAAGGCAGTACTAAGAGGGAAATTTATAGCTCAAAAAAGAGAAAAAGAAATCAAATAAACAGTCTGACAATGCATCTTAAAGAACTACAAAATCAAGAGCAAATAAACCCAAAATTAATAGAAAAAATAGTTCATATAAGAGCCAAAATAAATAAAATTGAAATGAAGAAAACAATACAAAAGGTCAGTGAAACAAAAAGTTGTTTTTATTGAAAAGATAAACAAAATTGACAAATCTGTAGCTGGACTAAGAAAAAAAAAAGAGAAGACCAAAATAAAATCAGAGATGAAAAAGGAGACATCACAACTGATACCACAGAAATTCAAGGATCATTAATGCTTTTTCTGAGCAATATATGCCAATAAATTAGAAAATTTAGAAGAAATGGATAAATTCCTAAAGGCATATATAACTTATGAAGATTCAACCATTAAGAAATTTAAAGCCAGAACAGTCCAATAACAAGTAACAAATTTGAAGCCATATTTTTTTCTTTCTTTTTTTTTTTTTTTTTGATACGGAGTCTCACTCTGTCGCCCAGGCTGGAGCGAAGTGGCGGGATCTCGGCTCACTGCAACCTCCACCTTCCGGGTTCATACCATTCTCCTGCCTCAGCCTCCCCAGTAGCTGGGACTACAGGCGCCTGCCACTGCACCCAGCTAATTTTTTGTATTTTTAGTAGAGACGGCGTTTCACTGTGGTCTCGATCTCCTGACTTCGTGATCCGCCCGCCTAGGCCTCCCAAAGGGCTGGGATTACAGGCGTGAGCCACCACGCCCGGCTGAAGCCATATTAAAAAGTCTCCCAGCAAAGAAAAGCCAAGGACCCAGTGTCTTCGCTGATGAATTCTACCAGACATTAAAAGAAGGACTGATACCAATCCTACTCAAACTCTACTGAAAAATAGAAGAGAAGAGAATACTTCCAAACCCCTTCTATATGACCAGCATTACCCTGATACAAAAATCAGACAGGGCCTATCAAAAAAAGAAAACTACAGGCCAATATCCCTGACAAATATTGATGCAAAAATCCTCAACAAAATACTACCAATCTGACTTCAACAGCACATTAAAAAGATCACACATCATGACAAAGTTGGATTTATCCCAGGCATGAAAGGATGATTCAATATACACAAACCAATCAATGTGATGAATCACATCAATAGAATGAAGGACAAAATTAATCAAATGTGACCATTCAATTAATGCTGAAAAAGCATTTGGTAAAATTCAACCTCCCTTCATAATAAAAACCCTCAAAACCATGGGTATAGAAGGAGCATACCTCAACATAATAAATATGATGTATGACAGACCCACAGCTAGTATTATGCAAGCCTTTCATCTAAGATCTGGATCAAGACAAGTCTACTCACTTTCACCACTGTTATTAAACTGTTACTGGAAGTCCTAGCTAGAGAAAGTAAGCAAGAGAAATAAAGGGCATCCAAATTGGAAAGGAAGGTGTCTAATCATCCTTGTTTGCAGATGATATGATCTTATATTTGAAAAAAACCTAAAGACTCCATCAAAAGAAAAACTCTTAAAACTGATAAACGAATTTTGTAAAGTTGCAGCACTCAAATTCAACATACAAAAATCAGTAGCATTTCTTAATACCAACAGTCAATAATCCAAAAAAGCAATTTAAAAAGTAATCTCATTTACAATAGCTACAAATTGAAAATAAATATGTAGGAATTTACTTAAGCAAAGAAGTAAAAGATCTCTACAATGAAAACTATAAAACATTTATGCAAAAAATTGAAGAGGACACAAATAATTGGAAAAATATTTTATGTTCATAAATTGTAAAAATCAATATTGTTAAAATTTCCATACTACCTAAAACAATCTGAAGATTCAATGCTATCCATGTCAATATATCAATGACATTTTTAACAAAAATAGAAAAACTATCCTAAAATTTATGCGGACCCATAAAAGAATCAGAATAGCCAAAGCTATCCTAAGCAAAAAGAACAAAACTGGAGGAATCACTTTACCTGACTTCAAATTATACTACAGGGCTATAGTAACCAAAACAGCATGGTACTGGTATAAAAGCAGACACGTAGATCAGTGGAACAGAATAGAGAACCCAGAAACAAATCCACACAGCTACAATGAACTTGTTTTTGACAAAAATGCCAAGAACATATATTGAAGAATGGACAGTCTTTTCAATAAAAACTTCTGCAAAAAATGGATATCTATATGTAGAAGAATGAAACTAAACCCCTAACTCTTGCCATATAAAATAATCAAAACAAAATGCATTAAGGACTTAAATCAAAGACCTTAAAGTGTAAACCTACTAAAGGAAAACATTGTTGAAACTTTCCAGGACATTGGAGTGGGTAAAGATTTCTTTAGTAATACCTCACAAGACAGGCAACAAAAGCAAAAGTGGACCAATGGGATCACATCAAGTTAAAAAGCTTCTGCACAGCAAAGGAAACAATCAACAAAGTGAAGAGAAAACCCACAGAATGGGAGAAAATATTTGCAAATCACTCATCTGAGAAAGGATTGATAACCAGAATATATAATGATAAAAAATCTAATAATCCAATTTAAAATGGGCAAAAGATCTAATAGACTTTTCTCAAAAGAAGACATACATATGGAAAATATGAAATATTTGAAATATATATCAAATATATATGAAATCATATGTATGAATTTATATGAAATGTTATATATATCATATATATGAAATGTATATTATATGAAATATGATTTTATATATTTCATATATATTTCAAATATATTTGAAATATTGTTTCATATATATTTCATCAAATATATATGAAATCAAATATGATTTCATATATATTTCAAATATGAAATATATGAAAAGAAGACATACATAAGGCAAATATGAGAACATATATAAAAATGTGCTTAACATCTTTGATCATCAGATAAATGCAAATCAAAACTACAATGAGATATTATCTCACCCCAGTTAAAATGACTTTTATCCAAAAGACAGAATAACAAATGCTGGAGAGTGTGTGAAGAAAAGAGAACTCTCATACACTGTTGTGAATTTAAATTAGTACAATCACTATATGGGTTCTTCAAAAAATTAAAAATAGAGCTATTGTACAATCCAGCAGTCCCACTGCTAGATATGTACCCAAAAGGAAGGCAATCAGTATGTTAAAGAGATACCTGTGTTCCCATGTTTATTGAAGCACTATTTATAATAGCCAATATTTGGAAGCAGGCTAAGTGTCCATTAACAGATGAATGGATAAAGAAAATGTGGTATATATTTACAATGGAGTGTGTATTTGCTATCAGCTATAGAAAAGAATGAAATCCTTTCATTTGCCACAACATGGATGGAAATGTAGGTGATTATATTGAGATACAGAAATACTAACTTCACATTTTCTCACACATTTGTGGATCTAGAAATTAAAACAACTGAATTCATGAAGACAGAGAGTAGAAGGATGGTTACCAGAGGCTAAGAAGGGTAGTTGGGGGTTGCCAGTTGATATGGTTCAAATTTGTGGTGTCCCCAAATCTCATGTCAAATTGTAATCTCCAATGTTGGAGTAGGGGCCGGGAGGAAGGTGATTGGATCAAGGGGGTGGATTCCCCCTTGTTCTTCTCATAATAGTGAGTGAGTTCTTATGAGATCTGATGGTTTAAAAGTGCATAGCATCTCCCCCTTTTCTCTCCTCCTCTTGCTCCTGCCATGTAAGACATGCCTGCATCCCCTTTGCCTTATACCATGACTATAAGTTTTCTGAGGTCTCCCCAGTCATACTTCCTGTATAGCCTGTAGAACCATGAGCCAATTAAACCTCTTTTCTCTGTAAATTACCCAGACTTGGATTGTTGTTTACAATAATGTGAGAATGGACTAATCAGCAAGGAAATCAGCATTGTTAATGGGTACAAAAAATACTTAGAAAGAATGAATAAAACCTACTAGTATTTGCTAGCATAACAGAGAGACTATAGTCAATAATAATTTAATTGCACATTTTTAAATAACTAAAAAGGTATAATTGGATTTTTTGTAATACAAAGGGTGAATGCTTGAGGTGATGGATAGCCCATTTACACTGATATGATTAATATACATCACATACTTGTATCAACTATCTCCTGTAACCCATGAATATATACACCTGCTATGGACCAATGCAAATTCAAAATAATAAATTTTAAAAAATTACTTAGGCAAGCACCTTTATTTGTCTACACCTGTCAGGGAGATCACTTCACATCTGTAGAATACAGTTATAAATTGTCACAACCTGCATTCCATGTTGAATTTCCCCAAAAATTCTATAATTTTTTAAAAATTTTGCTAATTAAGGATTGCTCTTTGTACTGGGAGGTTCTGTGGATTTTGACAAACTTATAGAGCTATGTATTAACACTTAAAGTAACATACAGCATAAATTTACTATTTTAAATTTCTTCTGTACTTCATCTATTCAATTCTCACCTTTCTTTCACTAAAACTTTGTCAACTACTGATACTTTAATCGTTACAGCTGTGCCCTTTTCAGAATGTTAGACAGGTAGAGTCATCTAGTATGTAGCTTTTTTGACTGGCTTCTTTTATTTAACAACATGCATTTAACATTCATTCGTGTCTTCTTATGCCTAGATACCTCTTTTTTTTTCCACTGGAAAATAGTCCATACTAAGGCTGTACCAGCATTCATTTAGAATATATATATTTTTTTCCAGTTTGGGAGATTATGAGTGTATCTGTAATAAACATTTAACTGAGGGGTGTGTGTGTGTGTGTGTGTGTGTGTGTGTGTGTGAACATGTTTTTGAATCAGTTGGATAATACCTAGAAGTACAATTGCTGCATAGTATGGTAAGGGTATATGTATCTTTTTAAGAAACTGTCAAGATGTCTTTCAAAGTGGCTGTACCATTTTAATTTACCATCAGTAATAAAAGAGTTCATGTTGCTCTACAACATCACCAACTTGTTGGCCATGCTAATTAATGTGTAGTGGCATCTCATTGTTCTATGGATTTATAATTCTTTAATGACAAATAATGTCAAGCATCTTTTTATATACGTAATTGTCATCTACATTCTTTCTTGTAAGGCAGAAAAGTATTTGTCCATTTCTTAAATAGTTTTCAGCTTTTTAGATATTGAGTTTAAATATTTTCCCCATATTTTGAATAAAAGTATTTTATCAGATACATGTTTTAAAAATTATTTCTTCCATCCCATGGCTTGTCTTTTCATTTAAAAAAGTGTCTTATGTAGAGCAGAAGTTTCAAATTTTAATAATGTGCAACCTATGAATTTTTCTTTCATTAATTATGTTTTTGTGTCATCTCTAGATGCTCATCACCAAACCCAGCTTATCTTACATTTCTCCTATGTCTTTTTTTCAGAAGTTTTATAATTTTGAGCTTCACATTTTGATTTAATTTTTGTGAAAGGTGTAAAGTCTGTGTCTCATTCATTTTTGTGCACATGAACATGCAATTTTCCAGCATCATTTTTTGAAAATATTGCATTTTATATATTGAATTGCCTTTGCTTCTTTGTGAAAGAGCATTTGACTGTATTTGTGTGGCTTATTTCTGGGCTATATGTTCTGCTCTATTGGTCTATGTGTTTATTATTTCACTAAAGTCATGATAAATTGATTCCTGTGGCTTCATAGGCAATCTTGAATTCAGGTGGCTTCATTCCTCCAAGTTTGTACTTCATTATTGTGTTGACTTTTTGGGGTCTTTGCCTTTCCATGAAACTTTAGACATATGTTGGCAAAATGGCTGGCTGAAGTTTTTATTGAGATTGTATGGAATTTAGATATCAAGATGAGAACAACTGGTACATTAACAACATTCAGTCATCCAGCCCATAAACTCAGAATATCTCTCCATTTACTTAGATTGTCTCTCATTTTTTTCAGAGTTTCATGGTTTTATGCTTAGAGTTCTTATACATTGTTAAATTTACACCTAATTATTATTTTTGGTCCTATTGTAAATAACCTTTAGTTGTTTATATCAAATTAGAATGCTTCATTGCTGATATATATGAAGTCAATGAACTTTTTACAATGAATACTGTTCCCTTCAATATCACTATAATTTCTTATTAACTTCAGAAGAATTTTTGTTTCTTCTTTGTGTTTTTCTCTACTGTATAGACAATTGTGTCATTAGTGGACAAGAAGAGTTTATTTCTTCATTCTCGTGGTGTATACTTTTTATTACCTTGTCATCTTCTCATATTTATTACCTTCTCATCTTAATATACCATCTATTTTTTCTAATGTAATGTTGAATGCTTGTGGTAAGATGGGGCATCCTTGCATTGCTCTTGATCTTTGGGGGAAATTGTCTAGTGTCTCACAGTTAGGTATGGTAACTATAGGTTTTTTGAAGATGTTATTTAACATGTTGAGGAAATTCTCCTCTATTAGTATTCTCAGTTTCCTAGGAGTTTTATTTTTAATAATCAACAAGTGTTGAAATTTTTCAGTGATTTTTTGCATCAATGATATTAGCATATGATTGATTGTCTTTATTTAGGTTACTGATGTGTTGGATTATATTGATTGACTTTCAAATTTTGATCCAACTGATCATAACTGGAATAAACATCACTTCATCATGGCATATTTTTATACACTTAATATGCAAAATTTTTGTTAAGTATTTTTTAGTCTATGTTTACAAGCAACATTGATGTGTACTTTAATATGTTTAATGCCTTGATCTGGGTTTGGTATTAAAGTTACACTGCCCTAATGGAATGAGTTAGGAAGTGCTCCCTCTCCTGTTTACTCAAAGTTATTATGGAAAATTAATATCATTTCTGCCTTATATGCTTTGTACAATTCAACATTAAATTATCAAGATCCAGTGCTTCCTCTGTTGGAAAGGTATTAAATATTGATTTAATTTGCTTAATAGATAAAAGCATGTTTAGGTTATCTAATTCTCTTATGCACTTGGGTAGAATGCAACTTTGATGAAATTGGTCAATTTCATCTAAAATGGTAGACATTGAATTGTTTGTAGTTTTTCTTTATTATCTTTTTGACATCCTTGTTACAAAATCTGATGACCACTGCTTCATTTCAGATTTTGCTATTTGTGAGTTCTCTCTTGTATTCTTGGTTAACCTGGTGGATAAAGAATTCTTGGTTCCTCCGCAGATAAAGATTTGTCAATTTTATGTATTTCTTCACATAACCAGCTTTTGGTATCACAATTTTCTCTATTGCTTTTGTGTCTTCAATTTTATTTATTTTGCCTTAAATTTTATTGCTTATTTTATTCTGTTTGCTTTCTGATTAAATTAATCTTGTTTCTCTAGTTTTTCTAGGGTGGAAACAGATTATTGATTTTAGATCTTTCTTGTTTTCAAATATATGCACTTCATAACGTTATCTCTCAACACTATTTTCTGTATGCAACACATTTTGAAGAGTTGTAAGCTTATTTTCATAGAGTTTAAAATATTTTTAATTTTAGATTATATTTTTCTCGGACTCATATTATTTACAAGTTTTTTTTGTTATAATCTCCAAATACATGTGTATTCCACAGCTATCTTTCTTTAATGAACTGAGTACATACTTTCTATGACTTCTGTCTTTTAAATTTCTTAATGTATGTTTTATGCTCCAGGAAATCTACTATCTTGGTGAATGTTTCACGTGAGTTTTAAAAGAATGTATATTCTGCTGTTGCTGGACGGACCTTTCTGTAATTACCAATTAGATCAAATTTTTTGATTTACTGTTCAAATCAACCATATCTTACTGATTTTCTGCCTGCTCAGTGTATAAATTACTTAAAGAGAGTTGTTGGGATCTCCAGATATACTAGTAAATTTGTTTATGTCACCTTGCATTTCTATCAGTTTTGTCTTAAGCATGTTGATAATCTACCGTCTGCTTTTCTTGACTTGCCAGATACAATCTTTGCAAATATTGTCTCCATTCTATGTATAGATTCTCTTTTCTCTAATATTATTGTATAATATGTAAAATATTTTAACTTGCAAGAAGTCTAATTTATCAATTTTTTTCTTTCGTTGCTGGTGTTTTTGATGTAGTCTATAAGAATCTGTTTTTGCCAAATCCTATGTCACAAAGACTTACTCCTATTTTTACTCCTAAGATACTTACAGTTTTAGCTCTTAAATTTAGGTCTTTGATCCATTTTGCACTTATTTTTGATTGTGTTATAACGTTTAATTGTCCAACTTCATTCTTTTTCATGTGAATATCAACATCATTTGTTGAAGAGACTATTTTTGTCCCATACTAAATGATCTTGGCACTCTCGTCAAAAATAAATTGAATATAGTTTAGTGGTTTGTTTCTAGGCTTTCAGACACATTTGATTTATCTTACATATCTATCTTTATGCTAGCACCATACCATCTTGTTTTTCGCTATGGTTTTTATCAGAGTTTTTTTTTACTATAAAAAGGTATTTATTTTGTCAAATAATTTATCTGCATCAACTGAGATAATTTGTTTTCTTTCATTCTATTAATGTAGTGGTTTTTTTAAATCTAGAACTGCATTTCTGGGATCAATCTTAGCTATATGGGGCATAAACATTTTAGTATGTTTCTGGATTCAGTTTGATAGCATTTTTTGCTAGCATTGAAACTATTTTAATTATATTTAAAAGAGACATTGGTCTCTAATTTTCTTTTCTTGTAACATCTTTACCTAGCTTCATTGTCACAATAATGACAGCCTATGAGAATGAATTAGGAAGTACTTCTTCTCCATCAATTTTTTGGGAGAGTTTGAAAATAATTTATGCCAATTCTTTTTTTAAACATTTGATGGAACACACCAGAGAATTACCTAGTTATGGAGTTATCTTTGTTGGAATGTTTTTGCTTGCTGATTCAGTCTCTTCCATTCCTTTACATTTATTCAGATTAGCTATTGCTTCTTGAGTCAGTTTTGGCAGTTTTTGTGTTTCTTAGGATGTGTCTATTTTACCTACGTCATCAATTTGTTGGTGCACAATTGTGTAGTATTCTCTTATAATACATTTTATTTCTGTAAAGTCAGTAGTAATGTCACCATATTTATTTCTGATTTTAAGTAATTTTAGTCTTCTCTGTCTCTCTCTCTCTCTTTTTTTCTTTTTTTTTTTTTTTGGTAAGTATAACTAAAGTTTGAGCTATGTGTTGCTTTTCCAAGAACCAAATTTTGATTTTGCTGTGATCTTATTGTTTTTTAATCAGTACTTTTTTAAGCTCTGCTATATCTTATTTATTTTCTTTTAGTTTTGGGATCCGCTTTTTCTTTTCCTAGTTTCCAGAGGTAGAAAATTAGGCTATCTATATATGATCTTTTTTTTAATATAGAGATTTATAGTATTAAATTTTCTTCTACACACTTCTTTCACTGCATCCCTTAGGTTTTGTTATGCTGTATTTTTGTTTTCACTTCTGAGAGTATTTTACAGCTTCCCTTTTGATTTCATCTTTGACCCACTGGTTGTTTAAGAATGTGTTGTGTAATTTCTACATTTGTGAATTTGCTAGGTTTTCTTCTGTATTAGTCCGTTCTCACATTGCTATAAAGAACTACCTGAGACTGGGCAATTTATAAAGAAAAGATGTTTAACTGACTCACAATTCCACAGGTTGTTTAGGATATAAGGCTAGGAGGTCTCAGGAAACTTACAATCATAGTGGAAGGGTGAAGGGGAAACAAGCACATCTTATTATGGTGAAACAGGATAAAGAAAATGAATGGGGAAGTGATACACACTCAAACAACCAGATCTTATGAGAACTTACTATCACAAGAACAGCAATGGGGAAATCCACCCCCATAGTCCAATCATCTCCTACCAGGTCTCTCCCCAACACTGGGAATTAAAATTTGACATGAAATTTGGATGAGGACACAGAGCCAAGCCATATCATTCCACTCTGGCCCCTCCCCAAACTCATGTTCTTAGCATATTTCAAAACCGATTATGCCTTCCCAACAGTGCCCCAAAGCCTTAACTCATTCCAGCCTTAACTCAAAATTTCAAGTCCAAGTTCTCCTCCAGGACAAGGCAAGTCCCTTCCACTTATGAGATTGTAAAATAAAAAACAAGTTAATTACTTCCAAGATACAATGCAAGTACAGGCATTGGGTAAATATACTCCCATTTTAAATGGGAGGAATTGGCCAAAACAAAGGGACTACAGGCTCCATATACGTCTGAAACCCACCAGGGAAGCCATTAAATCCTAAGGCTTCAAAATAATCTCCTTTGACTCCATGTCTTATATCCAGGTCGCATTGATGAAAGGGGTGAGCTCCTAAGGCCTTTGGCATCTCTGCCCCTGTGGCTCAGCAGAGTAGAGCCCCTGCAGCTGATTCCATGATCTGGTATTAAGTGTCTGTGGCTTTTCCAAGTGCACAGTCGAGTTGTTGATGGATCTGTCATTCTGGGACCTGGAGGATGGTGACCCTCTTCTCACAGCTCCACTAGGCAGTGCCCCAGTGGGGACTCTGTGTGGGGGTTCCAACCCCACATTTCCTCTCCACACTGCCCTAGTAAAAGTGCTCTATGAGGGCTCCACCCCTACAGCAGACTTCTGCCTGGATGTCCAGGGATTTCCACACATCTTTTGAAATCTTGGTGAAGGTTCCCAAACCTCAACTCTTGCCTCCTATACACCCACAGACACAGCACCATATGGAAGCCACCAATGCCTGGGGCTTGCACACCCTGAAGCAACAGCCTGAGCTGGACCTTAGCCCCTTTTAGCCATGGCTGGAGATGGAGAAGCTGGGACACAGGGTGCCCATGTACCAAGGCTGCACAGAGGAACAGGGCCCTGAGCCTGGCCTACAAAATGATTTTTCCCTCCTAGGGTTCCAGTCCTGTGATGGAAGGAGCTTCCATGAAGATCTCTGAAATAACACAGGGCATTTTCCCCATTGTCTTGGCCATTAACATTTGGCTCTTATTTACTTATACAAATTTCTGCAGCTGGCTTGAATTTCTCCCTGGAAAATGGGTTTTTCTTTTTTTCCACATGGTCAGATTGCAAATTTTTCAAACTTTTATGCTCTGCTTTCTTTTTCAATATAAGTTCCAACTTCAGACCATTTATTTGGTTATGCAAATGAGTACTGGCTTTCAGAAGTAGCCAGGCCACTCCTTGAATGCTTTTCTGCTTAAAAATTTATTCCACCAGATACCCTAAATCATCTCTCTTAAGTTCAAAGTTCCACAGATCTCTAGAGCAGAGGAACAATGTCACCAGCCTCTTTGCTAAAGCATTGCAAAAGTGACTTTTACTCCAGTTCCCAATAAGTTCCTCATCTCCATCTGAGACCATCTTAACTTGGATTTCATTGTACATATCACTATCAGCATTTCGGTTACAACCATTCAACAATTCTCTAGAAGTTCCAAACTTTCTCACATCTTCCTGTCTTCATCTAATTTCTCCAAACTGTTCCAAACTCTGATCATTACTCAGTTCCAAAGTTGCTTCCACATTTTTATCTTTATAGCAATGCCTCACTTCTCTGGTACCAATTTTCTATATTAGCTCATTCTCACATTGCTATAAAGAACTACCTGAGACTGAGTAATTTATAAAGAAGAAAAGGTTTAATTGACTCACAGTTTCACAAGCTATATAGGAAGCATAGATGGGAGCTCTCAGAAAACTTGCAGTCATGGCAGAAGGGCAAAGGGGAGCAAGCACATCTTACCATAGTGGAGCAGGAGATAGAGAGAATGGGGAAGTGCTCCACACTTTCAAACAACCAGATCTTGGGATAATTCCCTCACTATCATGAGAATAGCAAGGGGGAAATTCGCCTCCATGATCCAATCACCTCCCACCAGGACCCTTCTCCAACATTGAGAATTACAATTCGACATGATATTTGGGTGGGGACACAGAGCCAAACCATATCACCTTCTCTTATTGTTAGTGTTTCTGTTGGTTGGTTTAGTGACTTTTCTGAAAAGTATGCACTGCTTGTCGTGTTGAGCCACTAATGCCTTTATTCTTTAGCTTATTGGTCAGCTAGTGATTTGGTAAACATTTTCTTAAACACTTGGACTCAAACCAAACCAAACCAAACCAACAACAGCAACAATAACAAAAACGAATACAACTCTCTTAGTCGTTGGAAATTTGCTCTGTCTTGGGGCACTCCTTCAATGCTTAGCCAGATAGTTTACAACTGCATCTCATCATTTACTTCCTGCTTGTGTGAACACTGAAGGTCAGCAGAAGTTGAGAAGTTAGAATAATTTCTGGTCTTCCTGAGCATGGTTCTAACGCTGAGCAAGCATATGGCCCTCTTGATACTCTGGAATATGTAAGAGCTATTCAACAACCTTATTTCCTCATGTATCTCCTTCCCCAGCCTCTCCCCTCCCAAGCTTTCAGTCTATTGTTTGCATTGTTAACCCTTATTTCAGATGGCAGCATCTAAAATTTGTCATTTGACAAATGACACCTGGTAATCTGCCTCAGTTTTGGGGAAGTTCTGATGCAGGTGAAACAAAACCAAATGCTAAGTTGATTCTTCAGGAACAGCCTGCACCACATATCCAGACTGCTGTCTTTAAAGTGCTGCAAAGCTGAGGAGGGGAGATAATGATAAAAGGTTAAATGAAAATGCCACAAAATTCTCTCACTAAAATTCAGCATTTTTTTTCTACAAGTGTTCTCCTGCTTGTTTTTTAATCGGATAGAACATTTTTGGAGTTTTCTACGTTGCCAGTTTTGCTAACATTCTTCTTTACATTTGAAGCATATTTTTTTGCTGCATACATATTTCTAAGTTAAATTTTCCCAGCACTTTAAAGATTTGCTCCACTTTCATTTGCTTGTGTGGTTTTTGATAAGAAGTGCCCTGTAATTCTTTTTCTTGTTCCTCAATTAGGAAGGTGTCCTTTCCCTTGAAAATGCACACTTGTTTCAAGATTTTCTATTTGTCTTTGGTTTTCTGCAATTTGTATATGCTTAGATATAAATGTGGGGTATTTATCCTGCTTGATGTTCTCTGATATTCCTGGATCTGTGTTTTAGTGTTATTATTAATTCTGGAAAATTCTTGGCCATTGTTACTTCAAATATTTCTTCTGTCTTACTATTCTAATCAAACATGCATTCCAGTTTTTGAAATATTTCCATATTCTTGGTTCTATTCTGTCTTTTTGTCTGTTTGCTTGTTTGTTCATTCATTTTTCTCTTTGCATTTTAGCTTCTGATTTTTTTTGAGCCATCTTAAAACTCATTGATTCTTTACTAGACAATTTCTGGTGTACTGATCAGCCCCTCAGAGCAATTTTTTAATTCTATCACAGTGTTTGTGATATTTAACATATCCTTTTGATTCTTTCACATAATTTCCACCTCTTTGCTAAATCTTCTTTTGCATTTTGTCTATTTTTTCAACCAGAATCTTAACATTTTTATCATAGTAATTTTAAATGTCATGTCTGATCGAAATCTGTTACATTAAAATCTTATTCTAAAACTTCTGTGTTACATTTGAATCTGATTCTAAACTTGATTTTCTCTTCAAAATGTGTTTTTTTTTTCTGCTTTTTAGCAAGTCTCATAATTTTTTGTTCAAAGCCAGGCATGATGTATCAAGTGATAGCAACTGAAAAGAATAAAGGACATTAGTGTGATGATTTATCTTAAGCAGTAAGCAACAGCTGTAGACACCGGAGGATTTAAATTCCTTTAGTGTCTTTGTTTTGGTCTCCCCCATGTCTTTGTGCTTCTCTATGAAATTTTCCTGTGTCATGCCTGAGTTTACTTCTGATTCTTCCTTTGTCTCTCCAGACTTTTTTTTTGCCTTTTTAAAATGCCTTGTAATGTTTTATTGAAAGCCATACGTAGTTTATTGGTTATTAGAAATGAGCTAGTCTTGTATTGTGAGGATGTATATTAATGTAGACAAAAGCCAGGGTGCATTTAATGTTTGCTGTATCTCTAGGTGCCAGAAGCTTAGAATTCCTTGTGCTTTTGTTTTTGTATCTTTTCTTGACTATGGACTTTGCTAAGTATTCCTCTGAAAGAGTCTGTCTTGCAGCTCTTTCAGTTGTAATCCACTGTTAGTGTACTGGAGCCCAGTTAATCTGATTTTAAAGCAAGGAAAAAAAGGAGCATCTACAATACCATGATTATATCTCAGTCTCTTAGTGGCCTGAATTGCTAGATTGAGACCTTCATAAGTGTTTATTAGCTTTCCTCAAATGTTAATGTAACCCCCCAACAGGTTCACCTTGCCCAATGCCTAGACAGAACAGTTATATCAAGACAGGGGAACTGCAATAGAGAAATAGTAATTTATGCAGAGCTGGCTGTAAGGGAGACTAGAGTTTTATTATTACTCAAATCAGTCTCCCTCTAAATTTTGGGATCAGAGCTTTTTAAGGATAATTTGGTAGGTAAGGGTCTAGTGAGTTTGGAGTTCTGACTGATCAGACTGGAG
Organism: Homo sapiens; assembly: GCF_000001405.40. Lineage (NCBI taxonomy): Eukaryota > Metazoa > Chordata > Mammalia > Primates > Hominidae > Homo > Homo sapiens. The sequence goes on from NC_000011.10 coordinate 37,533,228, forward strand.
ATAAAATCACAGGGAGTCAAAGCTGTCTTTTTTTGCTGAGTCAGTTCCTGGGTGGGGTCCAATAAGACCAAATGAGCCAGTTTATCAGTCTTTGCTGGTGCCATCTGAGCCATTGAGTGCAGGGTCTACAAAATATCTCAAGCAAAGATCTTAGGTTTTACGTTAGTGATGTTATCCCCCGGAACAATTTTGGGAGGTTTAGAATCTTGCAACCTCCAGCTGCTTGACTCCTAAACCATAATTTCTAATCTTGTGACTAATTTGTTAATCCTGCAAAGACAGTCTAGTGCTCAGGCAGGAAAGGTGTTTGTTATGGGAAAGGGCTGTTATTGTCTTTGTTTCAAAGCTAACCTATAAACTAAGTTCCTCCCAAAGTTAGTTTGGCCTTCACCTAGTAATGAACAAGGACAGCTTGGAGATTAGAAGCAAGATGCAGTCCATTAGGTTAGATCACTTTCACTGTAATAATTTTCTCAGTTATGATTTTTGCAAAGGCAATTTCATTAAGTTTGCCATGAAGCTTAGAAGGGAACTAGAGTTTTTCCTGCAACTGAAATAAAGCTCTGATGAACCACCTCCTCCCATCCCTGGGAGAGTAGGGATTTGTTAGGATGAATGTGCTTGGTATATTCATCATGTTCACTTTCTCCCTTTACCCGACAGAACCATAAGAGAATCTTTCTTAGTTCTTCAACATAACAACCTGGGGAGTTTCATGAAGCAAAACCTACAAAGGTGTGGAGTTCCTCTAGGTCGGCGTCATCAAAAGTTTTCTTAGATTTTCACACTAGTCTACACTCAGTCTTGGCCATTTGCCAAAATTACTTATTCTATCAGTTAATGGCTCCAACAAGTTCTGTTCCAGATTAGCAGATCCCAGCTGTGATTATTTCTGTTCAGATTTTGGGGTAGCAGTTTGCCCTGCAGTGTCAGTTTTCCAAAGCACCTAATAAAAGTTATCGATTTCCAGTTTGTCAGCTTTTTTTATTGTTGTAATAATCCAAGTGAGGAGTTCCAAGATATTCGTATGTTGGAGTTCACCTTCAAATTATTAAAGTAATAAATGAGGGAATCAAAATAGTTTTTATTGAACAGATAACAAAATTAGGTTCATGAGCAATATATACAAAAATTAACCAAATATTGGGCCATAAAGTCTCTTCATATATCAAGAAATTGATATTAATCAGATTATAGACACTGGCCAAATTGCAATTACAATCGAAATCAATTATAAACATATGCCTGTAAAGTCTGTGGTTTTTTTTTTTTTTTTTTTTTTTTTGATGGAGTCTCGCTATTGTTAGCCTGGGCTGGAGTGCAATGGCTTGATCTCGGCTCACTGCAAGCTCCGCTTCCCGGGTTCCAGCAATTCTCCTGCCTCAGCCTCCTGAGTAACTGAGATTACAGGCACCTGCCACCACGTCTGGCTAATTTTTGTATTTTTGGTAGAGATGGGGTTTCACCATGTTGGCCAGGCTGGTCTCGAACTCCTGACCTCAGGTGATCCACCCAACTCGGCCTCCCAAAGTGCTTGGATTACAGGAGTGAGACACCGCTCCTGGCCTGTAAAGTCTGATTTAAAATTTTAAATGTGCTTCTAAAATAAATTGTAACCCAAAGAAAATCTAATATTGCAAAAATAGAAAGTAGTTAGAGCTGACATAAAATACTGAAGTATTTCAGATGAAGTAAAGTAATAGAATGGCAATTTGTAATGCAATAAATACTGAACATTAATGGGAGAAATATTTAACTAAAATATTTTTAATGCCTATATACCTCATGCATTTACAATTGAAAAGATAAATGATAAAGTATAAAATGTTTGTAACATATATATGACAAACATGGTGAACCCTTAAAAATTTATGAAGAAAAATGCAAAAAAGTCAGTAAAAACATAGGCAAATACTATGAACAGATAAAATTTAAAAAATCATATATAAATGTTTTAAATATAGGAAAAGTCTTTGTAGGGGAGTATACTCTCAACTTGAGCCCTCAAACTTGTTGTACATTATTGTAGAGTTTGTTGATTTATTTCATAAATATTGCATAAAACACTGGGCAACTTTCTTAGAAGTGGAAGTTCAAGCCATTGGCAACATCCTTAAATATGGTTCTATCTTCATTATGTCTAAGAAAATTATTTCAAGTGTTTGCTATAGGATTACCATCATGCTTAGTTTTAATACTCATTAAGTTTTTCCCTAATTTTTTCTGTTTACACTACTGAATTCAATGGTTAATATATCTTATTTACTTATTCTGTTCTTAATACAAACTGGATTTGATTGAATTAATGACTGTATTTTCATTGGAATAAATGTTAAAATTTGGGACATGTGCCTTTTGTAATAAATATGATATACAATGATAAATATTTTGATGACATTAGTCAAACACTAATTGATTCTTTCCAACAGGGGACCCATTGAACATTTATGGATTGACTAATTGTTCATAGCCATGAAACTATAGAAAATATTCAGACATTTATGCCATAAATTTTAATTATGATAATTATCCAAATAATTCAAACTGAACCAAACAGTAGTGTTTTCTTTAAAGTAATTCTGTCTTTAATTAAAAGCCAGTTTTGCTATTTATGTTATAATACATACAAACCTATTTAAAGTGTTAAAAAACGCAAAAAGTTCAATAGACTTAAAACTTTTTCATTAAAACATAATGCTAAAAAGTTTACAATGTTTCCTAGGTTGACTATTTCAGCAGGCCATTTTGTGACATTCATTGAAAATTTAGACATAATATTATATACATACATGTGATAATAATAGTGATTGCTACCCAAAGATGCTTACAATTCAATTCTATTTCTTTTCAGGTGTAGTTTCTATGGAATCAAAAAAGAAGCATTTATTAATATTCATCATTTTTCTAAGGGTAAGCATCAGCAGTATAATGGCAACAGAATTAGAAATTTACAGTCCATTATAATGTGATGTTATAGATGTTATGATCTATAAAATGATGTTATGCATTTTTTAAACTAAAAAATAATTTAGAACAATTCTTCATATCAAGAAAGAAAAGAGCAGTTATTTCTACTTTATATAATTTTTATGTAAGATTTAAATAAAAGTTAAATAAAAATAAGAATTATAGTACTTTTATTTTTGCATTTACTGATAACTTACAAAGAAGTCAACCCAAACAACAACAACAACAAAAAATCAGTAAGTTAAACGAAAAACCTAGTCAATAGCATTAAAATTCACAGATAATAAAAGTGAACCATTACATGAGTTAACTTCTTAAACCCTTTGTTCAGGATAATCAATATAGAAAACCACTACCACTCAATGAGCACCTGCTGTGTGTCTGGCTCTCTCACCAAATCTTAAAAACCTTCAGAAGTAAGTATTACTATTAGCAGAAATTCACAGATAAGGTAATTGAGTTGCAGAGAGGTTAGGGAATTTTCCTGAAATCTGAAGCTATCTTGTAAAGCTGGATTTTGAATTCTAGTATTTCTAACAAAAAAAAAAAATGTGTTTTTTTAAAAATACACCTTTGGTAGACAAAATGTCATTTAAAAATAATTCCCTAAATAAATATCAATTTATTGAATCAACAAAACTTAAATCAAACCTGAATCCTCTGGTAAATATGCACAAAATTATATTTTTTGTGAGATCATGGATGGTGACATCATTTTAGAACCCATATATCCACACAGAAAAAAACAATGCCATTAAAGCTATGGGGATTAAAACAATAATCTCAGAGAAAAATAGTCATTTCAAAAAGCATGCAACAATACTTTCAATTTCCAATAGTTGCCTGTGAAAAATTCTTGCTTAAGATTCCTAAATGAGAAGATGAATGTACCACATATAAACAAAGGAATGAATAACTCGACCTTGTTTTAGTAAACTTTTTTATGAAATTTATTGATTCTCTTGATGTTCTTAACAATTTTTAAGCCACTTTTATACAATGTTTTGTCCCAGGGATATATGAAACAATTTTTTTTTCATTATACATTCTCAGTATCTGTTTTTTTGACAAATTTTATTTTTTTATTTATTTATTTTTCTTTTTTTAAATTTATTATTGTACTTTAAGTTTTAGGGTACATGTGCACAATGTGCAGGTTAGTTACATATGTATACATGTGCCATGCTGGTGTGCTGCACCCACTAACTCATCATCTAGCATTAGGTATATCTCCCAATGCCGTCCCTCCCCCCTCCCCCCACCCCACAACAGTCCCCAGAGTGTGATGTTCCCCTTCCTGTGTCCATGTGTTCTCATTGTTCAATTCCCACCTATGAGTGAGAATATGCGGTGTTTGGTTTTTTGTTCTTGTGATAGTTTACTGAGAATGATGATTTCCAATTTCATCCATGTCCCTACAAAGGACATGAACTCATCATTTTTTATGGCTGCATAGTATTCCATAGTGTATATGTGCCACATTTTCTTAATCCAGTCTATCATTGTTGGACATTTGGGTTGGTTCCAAGTCTTTGCTATTGTGAATAATGCCGCAATAAACATACGTGTGCATGTGTCTTTAAAGGAGCATGATTTATAGTCCTTTGGGTATATACCCAGTAATGGGATGGCTGGGTGAAATGGTATTTCCAGTTCTAGATCCCTGAGGAATCGCCACACTGACTTCCACAATGGTTGAACTAGTTTACAGTCTCACCAACAGTGTAAAAGTGTTCCTATTTCTCCACATCCTCTCCAGCACCTGTTGTTTCCTGTCTTTTTAATGATTGCCATTCTAACTGGTGTGAGATGGTATCTCATTGTGGTTTTGATTTGCATTTATCTGATGGCCAGTGATGATGAGCATTTTTTCATGTGTTTTTTGGCTGCATAAATGTCTTCTTTTGAGAAATGTCTGTTCATATCCTTCGCCCACTTTTTGATGTGGTTGTTTGTTTTTTTCTTGTAAATTTGTTTGAGTTCATTGTAGATTCTGGATATTAGCCCTTTGTCAGATGAGTAGGTTGCAAAAATTTTCTCCCATTTTGTAGGTTGCCTGTTCACTCTGATGGTAGTTTCTTTTGCTGTGCAGAAGCTCTTTAGTTTAATTAGATCCCATTTGTCAATTTTGGCTTTTGTTACCATTGCTTTTGGTGTTTTAGACATGAAGTCCTTGCCCATGCCTATGTCCTGAATGGTAATGCCTACGTTTTCTTTTAGGGTTTTTATGGTTTTAGGTCTAACGTTTAAGTCTTTAATCCATCTTGAATTGATTTTTGTATAAGGTGTAAGGAAGGGATCCAGTTTCAGTTTTCTACATATGGCTAGCCAGTTTTCCCAGCACCATTTATTAAATAGGGAATCCTTTCCCCATTTCTTGTTTTTCTCAGGTTTGTCTAAGATCAGATAGTTGTAGATATGCGGTGTTATTTCTGAGGGCTCTGTTCTGTTCCATTGATCTATATCTCTGTTTTGGTACCAGTACCATGCTGTTTTGGTTACTGTAGCCTTGTAGTATAGTTTGAAGTCAGGTAATGTGATGCCTCCGGCTTTGTTCTTTTGGCTTAGGATTGACTTGGTGATGCGGGCCCTTTTCTGGTTCATATGAAACAAATTTTTAAAAATAAAACTGGACATTAAATTATGAAAGAACAGAAGTTTCTGAGTGAGGAAACAAAAGAACTGATTCCTATGAGTATCCCAACTTTCTTTGTTGATAATTTCTAAGTTGTGTCATAGAAAGGAGAAAACTTAGGTGGAACCTGAAAAGATCCTTGTGTTAAGAAAAGAACTGAGAACAGTGTCAGTGATGCAATTGCACCCAGTGAAAGAGAGCTCCAGACATTTTCAGAGAGCTTCTATTTGACTATTTAGTTGTGTGCTAATTGACAAATGCATGTACAAAGACTTGTACACACATATAGATAACAACTTGTAATAGCAAACAATAAAATAAAATAAATCGAGGTGCCCATGAACAGGGAATGAATAAATGCATTGTTGTATACTTTCAATGAAATACTACTCAGCAGTAGAAATGGAAATTCCTATTGTAATTTGCAAGAAAATAGTTACATCTCACAGTATTTATATGGACTGAATGAAGCCTAGGGGAAGGAAAAGTATATTAAGTATGACTCCACATATGCAAAGTTCAAGAAAACGCTAACTATTTAATTGTGACAAAGAATGTGGCGGTTTCCTTGTACAAGAAGAGTGGGTGATACAAGAAGGGGCCATAAGGAAGGTTTATAAGCAGCACATGAAAAACTTTGGGGAGTCATTGATAGTTGCATTACCTTGATTGTAGAAGTTCTCTCAAAGGTGGCATACAAGTGATAAAACTTATCAAATGTTACATGTTGGTACATACCACTTATTATATTTTAATTATTAGTAAAAGTGTTAAAATACAATATTAGAAAGTTATCTCTATTATGAAGAAAAATAGCACAGTATAAGGAAATAAAAGTGGATTATGGATGAAAGTAGTTTTTTGGTAAATATCTGCTATGGTTTGAATGTGCCCTCTCCTAAATTCAGCTATTACCAATGTGATTGTATTAAGAGATGGGGCCTTGGAGGTGACTAGGCCATGAGGGAGTCATCCTCATGACTGGGATTCAGGACCTTATAAAAGAGGCTCCATGCAGCATTGGGTTTGCTTGTTCTTCTGCCTCCCTCCATGTGAAGACACAGTAAGAAGTTCCTCACCAGATGTGGGCACCTTGATATTAGACTTCACAGCCTTCAAAACTGTGAGAAATAAATGTCTGTCCTGTATAAACTACCAGTCACAAGTTTTTGTTACTGTAGCACTAACAGGATAAGATGACATCTTCAGGTTTTGGAAAGGCAACAGTTATTTATTTGTAGCTAGCTATGTGGTAACTGTAAAACTACTTGAAATTTCATAATATCAAAATGGCTACTTAAATTTATGTTAACATATTTTATTCCAGTTCTTCAAATATTGTTTGTTTAATACTTCCATGAAGCATATAAAAATGACAATGATGGTGAAATTATTCCAATTCAATGACTTATGACTAAAAAGGCATTTTGCAGAAACATTGAAATACTAAACACTGAAGTTGAAAGCAATTATGTGCATGAAAGAGATTTTCTAAAGTTACTTTTCAATAAACTAATTCCATATGATAATATTTTTCAGTGTTTTATTGGCATGGGGAATTTGGCAAAATATTGGTGTCAGAATAAATTATTATGTCAAGAAACTTCAATAAATCCCTTTTCTAAAGCTCAGTTCTATATCTCTAAGAAGGTTAATAATAAATTATAATCAGTAAATACTATGTCTTTTAATCATGAATATAGAATTTAAATTACATGATGAGACAACAGAAGACAAAAACATTTTACCATCCAGTTACATATGTAAAAAGTTTAAAGATGTTACAAAAAAGTGTGTATTCAATGGAAATTCTAGGTTGATGTATATGTTATTCTTAATGATGCTGAACTTTTATAATTGTTTTAGTTTATAAAAAGTCTATGTACACTATTTTTGTTTGACCAAATTTGTAAAATACACTCAATGTATCTCTGTAACACAAAGTTCTTAGCCTTTGGGATTTGAAGTCTCACTGTTCCGTATTTTCTGTGTTTGTGTCTGATAATTCCTTTCTCACTTCTGATTTAAGTTTAATTTTAATTTTTTAATATGTAGGATTTGTTAACTTGTTTCTTCATCCAGCAGCGATCATAAGGTCAGATTGACCAAACTATCTCAAATTTTAAACTTTATAACATAAATTTTTTGACAGTGGATATTTTAAAGACACATTATGATTTCTAAAGGACAAACACATAACTCTGAGTTCTAATCTCAGTTCTGTCTCTGAGTAGTTGCATGACCGTGTAACCACAAGCAACTTGCTTCCTGAGCTTCAGTCTCCTCCAATGTAATACGGGCACAAAAATATCTACCTGGCCAGCCTGCCGTAAAGACCAAAGACAATTCTGTAGGTAAAGCTTCTACCTCAGAATTGAGTAAATAGACAATCTTATTATTAGTTCCATATGTTCTCCTTACTTTCCATCTGATATACTCTTACTTTTAAATGTAGCTCATATATTACTTATAAAGTCCTCCTGATCTTGTCTCCTGCGACCTCCTCTCACTCCATAGCTCATTCCACTCCAACAACGCTGGCTTCTTTGCTGCTCTTGCATAAGCCAGATCTGCTTCTGTTTCCCAGAATGCACTGCCCAAGGGTCACATGGCTAATTCTCTTCCTCTAAAATTCTGTCCAAATGTCATCTCCAAAGTTTAATTTAGAATCACAAACTGCTCCCTTTATCTTTGTGGCATAGATAACATAATCACTTGTCTAAATAAGAAGTTGAATCAATGGCCACACCAGATTTCTACTGACTGTTACTTCTAATCAGTGAAATTGACCTTCTTCTGAAAAAAAAAAGTAACAAATATATAAGAGGTGAAGCTTAATCTATTAGTTCAATATGAAAATGAATTACCCTAATGAACCAAAATATTCATTACCTAAACTAGTAATTTTGTTTAGGGTGACCTCAAAGCATAGGAAAACCTCTGAATGATCAAAAATACACTTACCCCATCAAAGTACTCAGTCATTAATTGACCCTTAATTTTGATCCATGGAACAATTTATTCTAGAAGTAGCAGCACATCCTATCCTGTGGTTTATATTGACAAAGGGGTTTACGACCTCAGTGTTGAATCCTAATTGTGTAATGTCTAGTAAAGGTTTGTTGTTACAAAGAAAGTCACTTGAGCTCTGAGTTTAGACTGGAGCATGGTGGCTTCAATCTATACGATATGTCTTAGAGTACAAAAGGACAGGAGAGATAAGGCCAACTTTATGAAAGCATCATCAATTGAATACATAGAATTAACAAATTTAGTAAATAAATATGAAGCCTTGCCCAAGAAGAGGGTTCATTAACGTGACAGACGCAAGTAATTACATTTAAGTTAAACCACAATCTTCAGAGCTTTAATGTCAATCCAGCATCTTAACAAGTATGTTTTTACTGAACTTTCTGTTATGTATTGCCCCAATCATGTTTGCTCCAGCTTTTCTAACATTGATTGAGTAAAAAGTTATAGGTCTGGGATCAGCAAACTCTGAACCACAGGGAAAATCTAGCCAGCCATCTGTTTTTGTACAGCCTATTAAGATATTTTTTCTTTTACATTTTAAAATGGTTGGAAAAAAAAACAAAAGAAATGTTTTGTGATTTATAAAAATTATACAAAATTCAAATTTTTGTATCAATACAAAGTTTTATTGGAATACACCCTGCTCAATTGTTTATATATTGTCTGTGGCTACAATTACAGTACAATGGCAAAGTTGAGTAGTTGCTATAAAGAATATATGGCCAGCAAAGCCTCCAATATTTACTATCTGACCTTTTAGAGAACTTGTACTAACCCTTACTTTACACTATACACAACTGTGAAAATACTAGATATTGTAGGTCCATAGAGACTGCTATAACCAATTGCAGATGTCATAAATCATGTATTCATGAACCACTTTGTCCTCTAATATAATCAGAACTCTTACCATTATTGTACCTTTGCTATCTTATTTTTCAATTAGCAATTTAAACACTCATCCCAGCACTACACCAATGGATAGATTTAAAATTCAGACTATTATTCCTTTTTAATTATATCAACTCTAGTTGCTTATAGCATCCTGTTTGAGGCTTATTCAGGTATAATTCAAAGTATGTTTTTATGAAAATCCTATGAGCTGTAGCATGAACAATTTCATACAAGGTTACACCAGGGCAATGGCTAGAATGTTTGTGTCCCTCCAAAACTCATATTGAAACTTAATCCTAATTGCAGTGTTACGAGGTGGGGGCCCTTTCAGGAGTGATTAAGTCATGAGGGGTCCATTATTATGAATGGGATTAATGATCTTATAAAAGAGATGTCAGAGAGCTGCCTGGGACTTATCTTTCTTTTGCCATGTGAGGACAGTGCATTTGTCTATTCTATTTTTTATAAATTATCTAATCTAACATATACTATAATAGCCACAGGAACAGACTGAGACAACCAGCATAATTTTATTATTCACTATACTAATTAATGGTTGACCATTCATACTTTCTACCCTCATTAACATGACTCCATGACACCCTAACTTAATATAATTCATTTTGACCCTGGAATGTATTTTTGATCCAATTGTCTTACATATGTTATTCAATACATCTCTATTTGGAAACTTTAATCTCTGATAAGATATATCGAGACCTTCCTTTATTGTTAGAACATACTTACTATACTATACTATATATAATAATATTTGTTTTTATGTTGACTTTCCAAGTGTATTACGTAGTTTTTAAAAATAGGACTTCTTTTCATTAATCTTTGTTTTCAAAGAAGTGGTTGCTAAGAGAAAGAATAAATGAATAAATAAAGTCTTGAAGCCCGAGTTAATTGACTTCTAAATTTAAGGCCAGAATTAATTTTTTATATCTTGAGTCTCTTTGAATAATAAGATACTTAATCAATAGCAAAAATTGTTAATAGAAAATCTTTCAAATGATTCTCTGTATTAACCCTTATAAAATTCTAAATTGGCTTATGGCATTTTGAGTTAGAAATTTAATTTCGCTTAATAAACATTTTAGAGTATCTGCTTTCTGCAAGGCCACAACTAGGACTGTGGCCTGGGATGGTTCCTACACTCTGCCTTCCAGGCTAAAGTCCATACAGATGGTGAATGGAGGAGGGCCGTTTTCCAGGGAGTAACTCATTTCTAGGAAGTAAGTAATATCCTGGGAAACTGGAATATATTTTTAAATGTGCCAGAAAATTTTCACTTGATAAATTAATACTGGCATTGTTCTCCTCTAAAATGTCAGCAGTATCACTTGGAGCTGAGTTACTGTTTCAGTGCAAAAGGCCTCTACCCTCTCCTTGGCAGCTACCTTTTCAAAGTGAAAAGCTGGTAGGAGAATCTTGATTTTTGTTATAATTGGAACAATTTATGCTTCCTTCTACTCTTTGAAAAAAGGAGAGAAATAATTTAGGGAGATAGTCTTTTCTGGAAAGCAGAAAACAAATTGATTACATTTGGTAAATAAAAATCACTGAGAAAACCAAAGTTTCTAATGGCACTATTGCTGCAAAATCCACATTACAGTCACTCAATTATCCTAGATTTTGAAAATTCTCAGTTAATTCTGCACAGCTATAATAATAAGGTAGAATGAGTAGCCATTTAATGATTTGCTAATAAATCATGCTACAGAGCAAAGGATCATGACACAGGCTAAACAAACAATGTATAGGGAAAATTAAAATAAAAAAAGAAGCTTTCCTGAATGTATCTGTTAGAAGCTGCATGCTGCAGAGGTTCTACTTTGACCACAGAAACAGGACCAGTGCATACAGTTGACTTAATCAGCTTGGGCTGTAATTACAAAATTACCCTAGCCTGAGTCACTTAAGCAACAGATATTTATTTCTCATAAACCTGGAGGCTAAGAAATCCAAGCTCAAGTTGCCAGCAGATTTGGTTCTTAGTAAGGGCCTTTTTCCTAGCTTGCAGACATCCACCTTCTCACTGTGTGATCTTATGGCCTTTCTTTGGTGTATGCTCTGGAAAAAGAAAGAGAGATCTCTCTCCCTGCTGAGAGTCTGACTTTCATGGCCTTATTTCAAATAAACATAATTACCTCTTGTATTAGTTCATCAATAAAGACATACCTGAGACAGGCCAATTTACAGAAGAAGAGGAAGTTTAAAGTATTTAAAGTTCCAAGAGGCTGGGGAGGCCTCACAATCATGGCAGAAGGCAAGAAGGAGCAAGTCACGTCTTACATGGATGGCAGCAGGCAAAAAGTGAGCTTATGCAGGGAAACTCCCATTTTTAAAACCATCTGATCTCATGAAACTTATTGACTATCACAACAGCAGCAGGGGAAAGACCTGTCCCCATGATTCGATTACCTCACACTGAGTCCCTTCCACAACAAGTGGGAATTCAAGATGAGGTTTGGGTGGGGACACAGCCAAACCATATATTGCACCCCTGGCCCCTCCCAAATTTCATGTCCTCACATCCAGGTCACACAAACAAAAGAGGCAGGTTCCCATGGTCTTGGGCAGCTCCGCTTCTGTGGTTTTACAGGGTATGGCCTCTCTCCTGGCTGCTTTCACAGGCTGGCATTGAGTGTCTGCAACTTTTCCAGGCAAACGGTGCAAACTGTTGGTGGATCTACCATTCTGGGATCTGGTGGCTTTCTTCTCACAGCTCCACTAGGCAGCGCACCAGTAGGGACTCTATGTGGCGGCTCTGACCTCATGTTTCCCTTCTGCACTGCCCTAGCAGAGGTTCTCCATAAGGGCCCTGCCCCTGCAGCAAACTTCTGCCTGGACATCCAGACATTTCCTTACATCTTCTGAAATTGACGTGGAGGTTCCCAAGCCCCAATTCTTGACTTCTGTGCACTTACAAGCTCAATATCACATGGAAGCCACCAAGGCTTGGGGCATGCACCCTCTAAAACCACGGCCTGAGCTGTATTTTGGCCCCTTTCAGCCATGCCTGGAGCAGCTAGGTCTCAGGGCACCAAGTCCCTAGACTGCACATAGCGTGGGGACCCTGGGCCTGACCCACAAAACCACTTTTTCCTCCTAGGCCTCTGGACCTGCGATAGGAGGGGCTGCTGTGAAGACCTCTGACATGCCCTGAAGACATTTTCCCCATTGCCTTTGGAATTTACATTTGGCTCCTCGTTACTTATGCAAATTTCTGCAGCCAGCTTGAATTTCTTCTCAAAAAATAGGATTTTCTTTTCTATCGCATTGTCAGACTGCAAATTTTTTGAACGTTTATGCTCTCCTTCCCTTATAAAACTAAATGCTTTTAACAGCAACCAAGTCACATGTTAAATGCTTTGCTGCTTAGAAAATTCTTAAGGCAGATACCCTAAATCATCTCCCTCAAGTTCAAAGTTACAAATCTCTTGGGCAGGGACAAAATGCCACTAGTCTCCTTGCTAAAACATAACAAGAGTCACCTTTCCTCTAGTTCCCAACAAGTTCCTCATTTCTGTCTGAGACCACCTCAACCTGGACATTATTGTCCATATCACTATCAGCATTTTAGGCAAAGCCATTCAACAAGTCTCTTGGAAGTTCCAAACTTTCCCACATTTTCCTGTCTTCTTCTGAGCCCTCTAAACTGTTCCACACCCTGACTGTTTCCCAGTTCCAACGTCACTTTCACAGTTTCAGGTATGTTTTCAGCAATGCCCCAGTCTACTGGTACCAATTTACTGTATTAGCCCATTTTCATGCTACTGATAAAGACATACCCAAGACTGGGCAATTTACAGAAGAAAGAGAAGTTTAAAGGACTTACAGTTCCATGTGGCTGGGGATGCCTCACAATCGTGGCAGAAGGCAAGGAAGAGCAAGTCACATCTTACATGGATGGCAGTAGGCAAAAGAGAGCTTGTACAGGGAAACTCCCATTTGTAAAACCATCAGATCTCATGAGACTTATTCACTACCAGGAGAACAGCATGAGAAAGAACTGCTCCTGTGATTCAATTACGTCCCACTGGGTCCCTCCCATAATACGTGGGAATTCAAGATGAGATTTGGGTGGGGACACAGCCAAACCATATTACCTCCCAAAGGTTCCATCTCTAAATACTATCATATTGGAGGTTAAGCCTTCAACATATGAATTTTGGGGGGATAGGCACCAACATTCAGTCCATAAGAGTTTTGTAGGCTGTGCAATGTACAAGCACAACAGGGTTCAGGAATCAGCAAACTGTAGCCTGCAGCTCATTTTTGTAAATAACATTTTAATGTAAAACAGCCACACTCATTTGTTAATGTATTATGTGTGATTGCTTTTACACTTCCATGGCAGAGATGAGTACTTGTGACAGAGACCATATGGCTCACAAATTCACTATCTGACCTAAAATTCACTATTTGATCATTTATACAAAAGTATGCCAACTCCTGGTCTAGGCTGCACAAACATTTCAGGCAGTCCTAATACATGTGATTCTGATACTCTAGATCAATGCTTCTCAAAATTTGGCATGCGTAGGATAAGTATCATCTAGAGAGCTGGTTAAAACACAGATGCTTGGGCCCCAACTCCAGATATTCTTGATTCCACAGAGCTAAGGTAGGGCTCAGGGATTTGCATTTCTAAAAGGGTCCAGGTGATGCTGATGCTGTTGATAGTTTGGATTTCACACTTTGAGTAGCACTGCTCTAGAAAATCATTGTCAATAAACCTGATAGTCTTTAGTGTTTGCTCAACTGGGAAAATTACTGCTTTCAATTGGGAAAATTATTGCTTTATGAAAAATAAGTATATGAGACTTATTCACTATCAGGAGTGATAAGTGAATAAGTGAGACTTATTCACTATCAAAATGTGTTCAGGGATTGAATATTTAAGATAGATACAGACACAATACCTGTTGAATTCATTATGTTTCATATGAGCAAGACAGTGTTTTACCTACACTGATATAATTTAGTTATCATAATTTTGATGTATTTATCAACATATTTCAATAAGGTAATTATTATCACTTGCATTTGTGTGAATAAACTGAAGCTTCAAGAACTGAAGAAATTTGCTCAAAGCCATACACCAGAAAGTGGAGGAAATTGGATTCAGAAAATGCCTTCTCACTCCAAATTCTGTACTCTTACCCCTCTTCTATGTTAAAAATCTAAACCATGATGCTTGAGCCTCTGACAAATTTGGCTAAAGAAATGAACATTTCTGGCAGTTTCATTCTGGAGACTAATGGAACAGGTGGAAAGTGAATATTACCCTTAAACAACTTTTAATTTATTCATATTTTTCCTAAACCAGAGAACTAATTCATTAGTTTTTATGTAGTAACCTAATTTGCAGGGGTTGTGGGGGGTGTGGGGAAAATGTAGAAAGCCAAAGACCAATAAAACTATTCAAACCAGTTTAAACGATACAGTTAAGTTACTTCTGCTGCATCATCAACGCCAAACTGAAAGTTTGTCTCTAGAAATTGACTGGAAAGACAAAAACTTGCCTTCAGTCCTCTTCTGTTCAACATATATTTACCAATAAATTGATCAACATGCATGCACACACATATATGTATACACCTTGAGATCTTAACTATTTTGCAGAGTACTTTAATCAAATTTTATTTGATTTGGTACCAACATAACACACTAATACAGGTTTATTATTCTTTCCATTTTACAGATGATAGAATTGATGAGGCAAAAATAAGACATGCATTTTGCTAAAGGCCATGCTACAAGCAAATGACAGTAACAGGGTTTGAGTCTAAAAACTTATTCTTCTGATTCCAGCTCCTTTGATGTTGGCAGATTCCAACAAGTTAGGAGAGGCAGTTAAAATGCCAAATATCAGATTTATTAGAGTCTTTAAAATTTCTAAGTCTAATTTAAGACTGCTGAATTACTTCTTCTATTATAGAAAGCATTCTAACTTGAGCCATCCATATCACCTCCCATTTTACCTTTTAACATTATAACTGCACCCATACGGTTCACAGGATTCCTGTGCAGAATTTCTCCAATGACCAGTTTTGGTGTGTAACCTTCTATTATAGTTTTGGATGTGTGTGACTTCTCTGGTGGTTGACTGTATTTGCAGAATGATCCTTTTTTGCTAAATAAAACACTCTATTTTTTTTTTGTCCTAACCTGCTAACCAGGTAGCTAGTGAACCCAATTTAAGTGAAGCCTATAATGTTCTCAATAAATACTTTACAGGTTAAGAATTCTGCATATATTTGCATAATCATAGATAATTGTTTCAAAATTATCTTCCAGTGGGCAAATGAGTGATGCATTCTTAAATTGCCTGACTGCTTGTGATTTGTTTTGTGCATTGTCACTTGTTTAGCCAATAGAAACTGTAAAGAAATTTTATGAGTTTAAAATGCCAGAAATAAGCCAAACTGAATAGATTTTTCTTTAAAAATCACTCAGCTTTACTAATTACTATTATTAAGAATTTATATTGTACTTTTTGTTTACAAATACTTTACCGGCAGCAATTAACTACGTACCTGGGGTAATGGTTGCTATTATTTCCTTCATTTTGTGTGCTGGTAAAACTAACAAGCAAAATTAAATCGTCTTGTGTGTGTGTATGTGCGTGCATGTGTTTGTGTGTGTGTGTTTTAGGGGCATGGCAAATTGCTGTTGGAACTAATTTATAATTATGACTTTCTGGATCCTCAAATCTTTATGAATTTTCTGATAATCAAAATGAAAGCAATTTGGTCAATAACTAATCTCTAAGGTCTACAAAATTTACTGTTGGAAAACTCAGCGACAGTTTTTGCATATATTCAACATTTTGAGGCATGACCATTTTGGTTTGCTCCTCAGTTCTTTGGGTAAAAGTGACCTAACTGGGTGGCATCTATTAGCTAACTCTCATTGGTGATGTAATGGTCCAATTGGCATACCTTCTTGGCAGTTTTGTTCAACAAATACTTCTTAATTCTCTGTTTGGTTACTGATGTTGCCCAAGGTATAAAGAAAAAAAAATTGAAGAAACCCACAGGGTCATTTTTTCCTGGGGCTGCAGATTCCTAAACAACTGCAGTTAAAGATGATGGGCTGAATACTAGAGATAAGAGTATTTGGCAAAGGAAAAGTTGCTATAGAAATTTTAGACAAAAGAATGATTCATCCCAAACCATAAAAATGGGAATTTTATTTGATAAATATGTATGACATACTTATTATTCCACAAGCATTGTTTTAAGTTCTTTACTACTATTAACTAATTTAATCTACACAGCACAACCTCTGAAATAGGCACTATTTTATCCTCTCTTGTAGCTGGGGTTCCAGGCACAGAGTGGCTAAGAAACTTCCCTAAGTCACAAAGCTAACAGGTAGCAGAGCCAGAATTCAAACTCAGGTTATTTAGTTTAATTATCCTTACTCTTAGACACTACTGTCTGCTGCCTACGTGTCGTGAGATGTAACACAATAATATAATTTGGTTTCACTGATATTTCTCAGTTACAGATATTGTATGGTTTATGCTGGTATTTTATTTTGGTTTCAAGTGAAATCAGTTCTACTTTGAATATGATATAAACCAAATTGGTGACTTGGAATTACTCTAGATTATCTGCAAATAGATATTAGAAAACAAATAAAATAAGTTTGATGCCTTTAATATGTACTGGACTTACAACAAAAAATGAGTCAAGTAGTCTAGACACAGAAAATTGTCTTTACTTCCACAAAGAAACCTAGATCTTCGTAGTTTTGTTAAAACGAGGGACCTTCCTGCTCTCTTCTTTATTTTCCTACTTTGTGTAGAGAAATTAGTGCAAGAAAGATTTCACTGTCCTCTTGACTCTGCAAGAAAATCAGCAGATCAAGTATGGTGATGAATGGCAACCAGTGCTCAGCATCATTGTCAGGGGAACAACATTGAGTGGCAAGGGAAAACTTGACTCTGCAGATTTTTGCCAAGGGTGGATGCTGTCCAAATGTAACATACTTCCTGATTCTTAGGCGATGGAATATACTTGCATATATATGTATGACACGTGTGTGCACACACATACACACAGCATAAACACACACCTTAAATCTCGATTTTCTTTATTTGTCAATAACTTAAGAAAACAAACAAAAATAACCACAACCATGCTGTTATGACCAACATCATGTGAACCAATATAAACCTGACTGTAGGCTCCATTCCTTCTGGATCATGTCAAAGCAAGAGTGAAGTCAGGAAGTGAAATTAGGAGCACTCATCAGGACACCTGAGGTTGAAGTGAATGGACTGAATGAAGCCCATCTGCTTTCTCTTGCATCGCGAAACCTTGATGGCACAGCCATCAGGATTTGGAAACTCAAATATCTTCCTCTTCAGGTCAGTGTCTGCATCTGTCAGAAGAGTCTAGCCTGTGGCAAAAAAAAAAAAAAAATATATATATATATATATATAATAAATCACAAAATTGTAATAACAAAGGCTTATTTCTTGTTAAGCTATTTGTCCGTGGCTAGTGGACTCAGGGTTTTATACAGTGTTATGTAGAAGCAACCATCTCAAATATTGCTGGTTACAATCACAGAGAACAAGCAAGCTCAGAAAAATTTTGTCCTCAGTTAAATGGCCTGACACTTACTTAGTCCAAATAGACACACGGCATCTTCCAGCTACTAAAAACTAACAAACAAAAAACCCAGGAGGAGAATTTTTGTACCCAAAGGGAAAAAGCTGAACATATTTGGGTAAGAAACCAATCATGATTAGATTTTTCTATGAAATAATTAAAAGGTAGGCTGCTCCTGACCAATTATCAAACCAAATGCATTTATGGAATATTGATTTTATTGTGGTTTTTGTCGTTATTGTTTAGAAGGTTTGCGCTTACTGTAGCAGCAGTTCATCTATCCTAATGGTGGTAATGGGGTGAGAAAAACGTTTCTGCAATGCTATCTTTTTATTTTAAGAAAAGTTGCTACTACTAGAAGCACAATATGTTAATCACTAAGACACATCGCTAGGCACTTACTGACATTCCTAAAAGACAAATGAAAAGAGGCTTATATGAACTACATAAAAAAGTGTTTAACATAAGAACATTCAACTAGTTAATGAATTTTGAAGCATTTACTAACATCTAGAGGGACTTACCAGGTTACCTATAGAAACGGGTATTATTTGTGTACAAATTAGGCAGTCATGTTTTTTTGATGACATAGTCAATGAAAATCATATCATTATCAGATCCTATTGGTTGTGAGAATTATATAAAATGAGAACCATATACAAGAAATAGGAAAGCAAAATAAAAGGGTGGTTGATGTGCAAGGCTGTGCAGAACCAGAGAATGAAGAGCAGAACGAAATTAAAGCTTTTGTCTGGTACAACGACTACTTAAGTAAGCCCTTTGTATATGTTATATTATGAAAAACTTCTCAGAACGCCTAATCCATTTCTACATGACAAAGACAAACATCATTTTAAAATGTTTAAATGTATTCAATATTCAGCTAACAAGACAATTTTATTTATTATTTGAAACTCAATTAAGATACCCTCTCTGGGAAGCCTCACTTGGAAGACTTCAGTAAAATTTCTTAACTCTCCATTCCCCAGAGTAAATGTCTTTTCCTTTTTTGCAGTATTACCACAGCACTCATTTATGTTTTCATGAAAGCTCTTGTCTCATCTAACTTGGGTTGTGGTTGTTCATGCCTTCATCTCCAGTGAAACCCCAGCTCGGAAAGCACAGGTGCACATCTTATTTGTCTGGGGGTTTTCCCACATTGACTATTAAATTATGTGCTCTAAATGGCTGTTGGAAACGCAGCTAAGGGGCTACACAATCCCTCCTGCACCAGGGGATGAATATTAGTTCAGTGCCATGAAATGGTAAATATGAGTTACGTTTGACTTAGTTCTAGGTTCATCAGTTTACACAGGTGAGGAGAATATAGCAATGAGTATAATTGACAGGAATTTACCTCAAGTACTATACATCGTCTCTTCATACATAAATTCTAACTACAGAGGGAGCAGCTTCTTCAGAAGCATTAGCCTTTCCCAGTGAAGTAGACCCTACGGAGTAATAAAGTGTAGTTAGCACTTGAATGTGGAGAAGGGATGTAAAGTAGTTTATTTTTCCCAGGAAATCAAGTGCTCTAATATTTCTCATTCTTTAACAGACTCTTTGGTTACAGGTTCCTGTAGCAGAAGAAAAATCTGATGTTCTGCTTATAAATTTTATCTGCTTTAAAAATATATGTGTATTCCACATAATTATCAAAAAGCTTAATTGTGGGAATCAGCTTCCTGCCATGGTATAATAGATACTGAGGAAGAGTCAATGAAAGTCAAAAATCCTCTACCCCAATTTGAATTATTTTCCACAATAAATCATTCTTAATAAATTTGATTAGTTTGGCATTTTGTGTTACTTGGTTTTCGTAGTTTGAAGGAATTCAAAGTCTTTATTTTGGTAGTATTTTTGATTGCATATTATAATTTAAATTTTAATCAAAGTAGTGTGTGGCAATAGTTACCAATTAAAATTTCCTGAAATATAGGAGATGCTACTAATGTATAACCAAGATAAAAAAATGGAATTCTAAACTCATTTGTTTAGTTGTTTCTATTGAAAAAACCTTCATATTCAAAATAATAATATGCTTAGTTCAAAATTACCTTATTAAACAAATACATACATATTTGTATACATATATGTATAATATGTATAATTTCCATTGACTATACATTTTGATAAATTAGTATTTTTCTTTATGTTACATCTCTGTTTTTCCTTCTGCTATCTTACAAGTAAGTTATTTGATCATTTGGAGGTAAGTTAAATCTCCATGTTTACATTATTGTGCTATGTATATAAAGCTCACTAGTAAGAAAAGATATAAAGTAATCATTGTGTACTCACTGTTAATAAGTAAGTAGCATTGTTGAGTCCAGATAGTTTGCTATTCCAGAAAGCAAGAAAGCTTGCAATAAATAAGGGATCAGGTCAAAAGGACACGACTTACCTTGAGGAAACCCAAAATGACAAATACGTGACTCTTTGAGTGTCATAAGAAAAAATTGATTCCAGGTGATAAAGATATAAATAAATCAAACCCCACGAATCCATAAAAATAATAACAAAAGAGAGAAAGCTAGAAGAAATATATCTTACTTATAATGGTTAATATACCAAACACTTATTTTCAAAATTGGTATTTAATGGAAAAGCGTTAAACATCTGTCTTAATTTTATGGTGGGAATGAAATTTTCAAGTAGTCAATTCATCCTAGTTGATGACTCAAAACTCTATTGAAAAACACCACCTTGTCTGAATTGAAGAAATGATACATTTTGAAAATCGTTATTTTGAAATATTGATTCAGGTAAAAATGACCAGTTGGTGGTTTTTACCGTAAGGTAGAAATTTAATGAAGAATTTAGTATTCCTTGTATTGTCAAATTTCATGTGGGTGATGGATGTTCTACATAAGAATGAGTATACTAACAAACAAAAGGCGATGCTAACACTGAGTCCCAATTAGATATTAGATATTACTAGTTGCTTTGATTATGTTTTCTCATGTAATCTAATATGGTTTCAAAGGGGAAAAATACAGATCAAAGTAAAGTAATTTGGAGTCATTCGGCTAGAAAATGGCACAGAAAAATCCAAACTCTTGTCTGTCTGATTCCTTTCTCTGTGCTACAAACTTCAAACTTAGGTTTTGAATATATGTATTTGATTAAACTTATATATTTGATTAAACTAATCCATCTCTGCATATAGGACAATAATAGTATTAGATGAAATTTCTCTTACATAAAGCTATCACATATTTTAGGTGATGTCTAGAAACAATTTTAATTTTTAAATATGCTATATGGTAAGTTTATTAAACTGGAAAACAAGTACAAACAGATGATCAAGTATAGCATATTTAAATCTATGCACTGAAATTAATTTTTTTATAAGAGAAAAGGCATGTTTCCTGAGTGATGGCTGGTTAAGGATGGTATTTATAATGAAAATCTTTGGACAAGAATGTACTGTGTCTATTGTGTATTGACAGTAACTCTAAGTGACGTGATATATTTTTACACTATATATAAAGATCACTTAATATACAGAAAGGTGGAAAATAAATTTGATTTTCTATACTCGATTTTGTAAACTGCAAATACAAAATTTCAAGAGACTTCTCTTTGTCTCTTACCTCATTAAGGTTGAGTTTGGAAGAATAGCAAATATGGATGATGTTTTTCCCTGATTAAGCAAGAAAGAATCAATTTGAAAAAAAATTCAGCTTTGCTATAACTTCTTCATGGGAGCTTCTGTCCTTTTGTCCTCAAAGAACTAAAAAAAAAAATTGTATAATATGTTAGAATTCACTTGACTGTGCCGTGAAACCTGCCTAGAATACCTTCTGTTTTGCCTTGAACTAACCCTGCAAGCCCATTATTGAGGTTCATTTCAATTGGCTCTACTCAATATCTCTTGAGGTTGATTCCATGATTTTAGACAAATGCAAGAGATTGGTGTGGTTGTCATTTCTGTCGCGTTACATAACAGTAAATAATACAGACTCTCTATATGTGATTATAAATAGGTGAAAATCATGAAATAAGTATTGCAACTGTGAGATTGAGCTCTGCTTGTCTTCTTGATGACTATGTTCTAAGACAGTTGGACTACACCACCTTACTTGTGACCTAGATCACAAAGCCAGGTCATCTGTCTTGATGAGGATAACATTTTCCTTATCACATTCTCCTTCCAAATGTTCCATGCAAATCAAACCACAAACATATCAGTGTAAAATAAAAAGTAGTTCTCAATAACTCCCATCGAGGGAAGGATAGAAAATGGAATGATATGCACTGGTATTATGTACAAATTTGTCAGTATCAGTATTCAATATCAGTATACAGTATTTTCTTATCTACCACTATATGTATTAAATTATTTATGTTATAGAAAATCATCTAAAATTATTTATTTATAGAAAATTCTAAATATATTTTGATATGTTAATGTCCAAACTTTACTTCTCTCAACTTAATTCTTATAAGGTATTAATGCTATAGTGGTATCAGATTCTCTGAGCTATTTTGTGGATAAAACATTGAGAGTAGTTTCTAGTTATTTTCAAAGAAAGACGTCATCAGCCTTTTGTAATCTGTAAAGAAAACATTAAGAGAATATATTAATTTATTTAAAAATGTTCTGTGTAAGAGTGAATATTCAACACTTTCTACCAAGGATATTTGTCCACTTTGCATTGTGACCTGTATCCATAGCAAAAGCCTGAGCCTCCTCTAATGTTCATGTCATTTGTTTTAAACTTCTTTACTCAATGAGATGAAACACAACCATGGGATAGCTACCTTAGCTAATGCATCCTCCCCACCTCACACTGCCAGTATTATATGACATAAACAGTGATTTAACAGATACGTTATATTTCATTATTACAACATGTATAGATCTTTGCAAAAGGCTGTTTCTCTTTTTGTTTCCTTTCATACTTTGCTATGATGTTGCACTTTTATGGCAAAGAAGTGTCCTGAATTTCACAAGGTAGGATGAGGGATTTCTTCAGAGTTTGGTAAGAAATGTGATGTGCATGAAAAAACATGTATGTTAATGTCCTGACTGCTCTTATGAGGATGTGTGGGATCCCTATTTACCAGTGTTCTAGACCTTTGGTGATGCTGCACAGTCTTTCTCACACTTCAGTTTAGTTTTCAGGATCAGGTCTCATCAATTAAGATATCTCAGATCAGCATGTCAGTATCCACCTCTCCCCAATTTAAGGTCTTCAATTTGGCTTGAATCCCTTTAGTTCTCTAATCTGACATAACCAAAGAGTTGCCATATCAGGTAAGAAAGACTCAATGCATATACTACTAAGTAACTTGATTACATGGCAAATGCCTTCTACTCATAAAAAATGGAAATAACACAAATATACCCCACCTATCCTAAGGACTTTCTCAACCTTCTTCAAACCCATTATTCTCCTTTATTATCTCCCAGTTCCTGCTCTCTATGGAATGAAAGAATCCAACACTGGGGGCAAGCTCTATATTGAACCACAAATATGATTACATGTAGCAATTCATCTATTCTATTACAAACCAATTTTTATCTTGGTTATTATTATCTATTATCACATTCCTTAGAAGTTTATGAAATGTCAAAATACTGTTACAATCAAAAGTTGTATAATAAGCAAAGATTGATTTTTAAAAAAATTTATTTTTTTCTAAATTTTTGTAATTGACATGAGATAGTACATATTTGTGGTATACAATGTGATGTTTTGATATGTGTATATATTATGAAATGATTAAATCCATTTAACTAATATATCCATTATCACACATACTTATCATTTTTTGTGGTGAGAACATTTAAAATCTACTCTTCTAGCAATTTTGAAATACAATACATTATTATTAACCCTAGTCACCATACTGTGCAAAGATCACTGAAACATTCCACCTACCTAACAAAAACTTTAAGAAAATAATTGAGTGGAAATTCAATGGCTGCATCAGGTATGATTTGCAATTATGCTGTGCTGTCTCCTGCTTTAAAATCTTTTTATGTATTCATTCATTCACTAATTTCTCAGCAAACATTCATTCATTCCACAGCACCTACTGTGGGCCAGACACTTAGCTAGGCCTTATGGATGCATCATCAGTGAAAAGACCATTGTCCTCGAGGTGCTGTGCATGGGAATCTTATATTCCAGCGTGTCCCCCTCTTGTGTGCATGCCCAAATCCATGGCATAGCAAATCTAGCTTTCTAGAGTCTGGATCAAATCTATCATTCCAGCAGACCTGATGCCAAATCTGGGTTTGAGTACTAATTAGATGTGTCAACTTTGACAATTTCTTATAGTTCTCTGAGCCTTACTATTCATATTTATTAAGAGAGAATAAAATACCTGGCAGCATTGAAATAATTGAACAAAGTAATGTTCAAAATATTCTCTAAAAATATTAATACTCCTATGATTGAATAACAAATAGAAATTTAGATAAAGAGTAACAATATTATTCGTTCTAAAGCTCATTGGAATGCCAATTCTAATGACACATATTTTGCCTTTCCTAGGATAAAAATTCTCCCCCCTTTTTTTCAAGCTGTGAAAATCTATTTATGTCGGAAAAAAAAAATACTGCCTATCTCCTTGCCTTCATCACTCCAAAATCTCAGAGAAAACAAAAAGGATCTCAAGTTTGAAAAAAGAAGAAAGGGAAACATGAAAGTACACTTTTCATCCAACCAAGTACATTGTGTTTTCCAAAACTAAAGTTACAGTTTATAATGACCTGTTGTCTAGATTCATATAAAGAACTGTGGCTTTCTAAGCACCTGCTAGGCAGCTGTGTAATGAATCACAGGCCCTGTGATCAGATTCAGGGCCAAATGAAATAGGACAACAGAATTTTGCTCCTTCAGAGCTACTTAACCAGTTGAAAGTCTTTTATGTAACAATCTGTAGCTGTAGCCACCTCTCTCTGAGGCAGCCTTTCTCAAGTCGTCCAGTGCTACCTGCTGAAGAGGATCTTTCCAAGCTGGTTCCTTCTCTCTCATTGCAATAATTCTGTTGTAAGCAGGGCTACAAATACAGACCTCCCAGTTGGAAGGGAAAACTGTGGGTGTGAAAAAAAGGACATACCAGGCTGTTGATTGTTATTTTCCTTGAAATTTTTATAACAATGACAAAATATATAGGGATATCAGAGTGGTGTTTAACTAATTTATGATATTCGTTTGCGGTCTGTGTAGAATAAATAAGTTTAGAGGCTTTCAAAAACAAGCAACAAGCAGGCAGTTACTTAATGAGTTCCTTCCAAGTTGTCCCTTGGTTCTAATGCATAGTCACAAGACACAAAACAGGAAAAAGGGTGAAAGTCAGGGCTCAACTTTAAGGACTTTCAACTGTTGGCCCAGTGGTACTAAGGATTACTAAATCAACATCCCAATCTATAGAATTTGGGGAAAACATGACTTGTCTGTTGAATGAGACAAAGTGAGAGAAAGTGCCTCTTTTAAAACTGCAAACAACTTTCAAACTAGCAGGAGCAGACTTCCTCTCTTTCAATTGTGAAAGGAGCTGAGATATGAAGTCAAAAAGCAGACAGGACAATCTTTCTTGCAGGAAGTCTGATTCCACAGACATACTGGTAAGAACTTGTTTGCTTGTGTTCTCAGAGTCTGAAAAAGTAATTCAGCACTGCTTTAACCGTGACCTTTGATTATCTCCCTAATCCTTGCTTACCCAAGATGAGTAATAAAACTGCCCTTTGCAGAATCACTATCTCCAAAAGAAACCTCAGAAGCTAACTTCAAAGGTGAAGAAAAATCAGGCTGTGATAGAATTTAATGATCTATTTTCACCTCCAAGTGAGAAAGAAAAACATTCAGAAAAAAAAATGAGAATGAAAATGGAATTTTGACTGCAGCACTCTAATTAACTTGAAAAGTGTCCTGAAAATATTAATACAAACAATGAACAACACAACTTTTACTTAACATCTGATCATGTATAAAATATAATTTTAAACAAATGTTTGAATATTTTTATTTACATATCTGATTAATGAGTGGAGTATATACAAAAAGCAACATACATATTTTTAAGAATTATGTGTTTTATGTATATCATGTCAATTAATTTTCCCTGGCACTCTGATAGAAGGTATTGTTTGCCTCTTTTCATTGATAAAATATGGGGCATAAAAGACAAAGGACCTTGCCCAAGGTCATACCAGTGGCAAACAAAAGACTCAGGATTTGATCATCATGCTGCCCATAAGCAAAATGACAGAAAAAGTGAACCGTGTAAGCTGATGCTCCTCAGCCCCTAGCTAGGTACTTAAGCTTGTAGTACTCAGCCTCTCCAGCTAGGTACTTAAGCTTGTAGTACTCAGCCTCTCCAGCTAGGTACTTAAGCTTGTAGTACTCAGCCTCTCCAGCTAGGTACTTAAGCTTGTAGTACTCAGCCTCTCCAGCTAGGTACTTAAGCTTGTAGTACTCAGCCTCTCCAGCTAGGTACTTAAGCTTGTAGTACTCAGCCTCTCCAGCTAGGTACTTAAGCTTGTAGTACTCAGCCTCTCCAGCTAGGTACTTAAGCTTGTAGTACTCAGCCTCTCTAGCTAGGTACTTAAGCTTTTAATACTCAGCCTCTAGCTAGGTATTTAAGTTTTTAGTACTCATGCAAGATCCTGAGCCCTTACTTGCTCATTTTTCAAGAAGGATTTGGAGAGCTACGTTTCAGCACAGATACCGAGATCCAGAAAGTTTATTGCTTCAAGTACAGAGCTACAGCCAGAGCCCAGGCACAGTAGTTAGGAGGACAGTCACTGCCCCATTCTAGATTGTTAGTACGAAGTGGTTAACATAATGGACTGTGAGGCTAGACCATTGGGATTTGAAGGCTACCCTGAATGTCTCTATTGCCACAGGAAAACTACTAAAATTTCTGTGTTTTATGAGCTTTTTGTAAGGATTAAGTGAGTTAATACATGAGAGAAATTTACATCAGTCCCTGGCATGTGTTTTCTATTATTATTAATCATGTTCATAGAAGGAAGTCACAGACAGGGTACAGGAAATCAGGAGCCTGATTTCAACAGCCAGATAACGTGGCCAGTGGAAGCCAAGAAAAATGTCCAGTCAATCTAGGCTAAAGCTATGTAGAAAAAGAGAGAGCCTTCACTCTGCAGGTGAGTTTACTCATCCTTCAGGCATGCCAGATGCCAGATGCCTCTGCAAAACACTAACTGTGGTTTCCTCAGCGGATGGCTGCAGGTCCTTGCCCTGATGGGGATCGGACAAGGAGGCACTTGCAGGTGAAACTCCTTGATCACTATGTCCGGGAGAAGCCAAAGTGGACAGGGCTGGTAGTAGCTTCCAAAGAACCAGAATGTAGTGAAATTGTACTGGATTGATTCAGAAAGCTCTTAAGGTTCTCTCATCAGGAGCTTTAAGTTACCACTGGCCACCTGTTTAGGGATTATATAGTTGTCAAGGTAAGATTACTTGGACTAGTCTACAGTAAAAGAACTGTTAGAAAGTGTACAGGGCTTTTTCACAGAACTTTAGGTCTGGGGCATATTTGGGCCTTACCCAGGCCTGAAAGAAAGCACTAGAACCATTCAGGAGTTAATGTAGTTGCAGTTTTCATCCACGCAGTGCTCAGAGGACACATGGTCGTTTCTGTGAGTCTTCTCTATGCTTTGCTTACTTCCGTTATCTTCACTGAGTAGACTTTTCTGTCCTACACATTCATGGTTCATCATAAGAGCTTCAGCTCCAGCTTTACTTGATGTTTTAATTTAAGAGGCCAATAAAGATTAATGAGTTTTACTTTTAGATTTATGGGAAAAGAAAAAAATCTGGCTAAGGCTTCATCAGGGACCTCATGTAATCCATCAGCAAGGGTGGGATGTCTTTTAAGGGTATGGACTCAAGAGCCTCTGAGAAGAGAGGGTGAAATAGGAAGGAAATTCTCATCAGAGAAAATTGTTATTTCTAAAATGCTGCAGATGTGAAGTTCTGCTCAATCAAGTGCTATATAAACAACAGTCCTAAAATGGGAACTGAGTGGTCTGAGTAATGGCCTGGCTTTGCCTTTGGTCCTCTGCAGCATCTCCCTGTTGTTTTAATGCACTTGCTCTTTTCTCTCTCTCTCTCTCTCTCTCTCTCTCTCTCTCCTCTCTATCTCTCTCTCCTCTCTCTCTCTCTTTTTCTGCTATTGCATTTATTGGTAAAATGCAGCTTTCTTAAAAATATCTAAAAGGTTTCCAGAAGCTAAATAATTGAAGTTTCTTAGAATTAAAACTATATATATATATATATATATATATATATATATATATATATATACACACACACTTTATTTATTTTTGGTGGTGTAGGGAGAGTCTTCAAAAATAGTATGATATTATACTCTCTTAGAGATGGGCTATGACCATATGAACAGCTCTGCCAGAAGACTGAGTAGAAATGATATGTATCACCTCCAGGCTGAGATTATTAAGCTGTGTTGTGCTTGCATAGGTCCATGTTTCCTTATTGTGGTCATCTTGGAAGCCATGTGCTCCACATATTGCAGCTAAAGATGGTTAAAGACAACTGACATAATTGGACTTTGTGCACTTGAAAATGATACCTGTGATTTAGGGATTTATCTGCTATCATAGCCTTTTCTGATTAACACAGTAATTGAGCAAAGGGGTTATTTTAGATTGGTCTTGAAAAAGAGATAGAATTTTACTAACTGAGGAAAAGAAGCATAATTATTCTAGATAAAGACAAGAGTCACTAATAAGAATGAAAAGAATGAAAGTTTGCTGTCTGATCAGAGAATATTGCAGAGTCCCTTTGTTGGCAAAACCAGTGATGTCTGCTTGGTAAAGAAGGAGTTTTGTAAAATTTTGAAAAGTATTACATAATATAACTTAACTTTTTTTAAAAAATGGAATTTTTAAATGTATTTGCTTACTTAAAATATATGATTATAGCTATCTCTAAAAAGTGTAATTTCTCATGATTAAAATCTCCTAAATGATAAATTTACTCATAATTCTTCAATCTACTTAGATATAATTCTAAAAGTTTTTTTCTGTTCTCAAATAGGGTAGTTTAAACAAAGGCATGGAAGAGTATTTAAACTTTAATCATGAGATAGACTCTCCCTTAGATAGCTGATGACAATTAAACAAGATAATGACTAAGTACCAATTCACATTGGCAGTAACAATATTTAAAAGAGAAAGAGTTTGGGCTTTGGATTATTGCCAGGTAATCAAAGCTAGTGAAATACTCTTACAATAAAACATAATCAGTAGATATATTTACAAGTTATATTAGTTATGTTATACTTTTAACCTTCTCTCTTGCAATGTATAAAGTTTTTTATCCATCTAATTGCCAACATCTTTTTAGATAATCAAGTATTTTGCCTTCTTACTTTGTAATTCTCCGTAATCTGGTTACTTATGATGCAAGGATGTGGACTTTTGCCTAACATATGAGGTAAAATAACTTTCAAAAAACAATGGGAAATATCTTAAATTTAATTATTTATTAGCAAGAAGAGAATATAGATATGTTTCAGGTGATGTAAACCAGTGACAGCTGATATAACAAATATTTTCGTGATGAGTTTAGCCAAATGAATAATTAATTCAGCATCACTAGCTCTTACCCTTTTAACTATGAGTAGCATTTATATACTTCTTTAACACATAACATTCTTTTAATTCCTTGTTTTGTGTGTTCAAAAAATAATTACTTAACTATGTTCACCAAAAGCTATACTCAAAGAAAATCATAGAATATAGCTTTTGGTGAACATAGATAAGCAATTATTTTTTGCATATGATAAATCTATTCCAAAGTGTAAATAACCAAATGTCCCTTAAAAGTAAGAATAGATAAACTTTAGTATATTCACAAATATAATTCCTTACAGCAATAAAAATAAATATACTGCATGGATTACTCTTGCTAATATTTTGTGTGAAATAAATAAGACTCAAAGAAGCGCATATATAATTTCATCCAGATAAATTTCAGAACCAAGAATAATTAATACATGCTTTCAGAAGTCAGGAAAGTGGTTTCCCTGGTCATGAGTTGTTGGGATATGATCAGTGGTAAGTAGTGCAAAGCAAGGCTATTCTGGTGCTAGTATTGATCTTTCTCAATATTGATGATGGGTACATAGACTTATTTAATTAATGAAAATAAGTCTAAGTTGCACATTTATGGTAAATTTTTTCATAAAATAAGCAATTTTTAAAGTATATTAAAGTTAAATAGTGCATAGCAATAATTGGGGAATGTGAGAAAATAATTATTAGTTCTCAGATGAAGAAGATGGCTTTACTCTGAGTTTACACTGAAAAAGGTAAAAATAATCAGGTTTTTACATTAAATCCTAGAGCAAAAGAAAGGTTTTTAGATAAATTCAAAAGCAGAGATTGATTTTTCAGAAAAAAAGTAAAATAGAGCAACATTTATCAGGAGAAATGAGACAACTCAATGGACAATTTCATATTGAATACTTTAAGTAGAAGTTGGATTACATACAGTTGCTTAAAAGATAGTGTGCAACGTTAATTAAGCATGACTGATTAGAAACTGTTATAAACCTCAAGGAAAAAGAAAATCACAGATAAAGTTGAGACACAAGTGTACTAGTTAACTGAAATAAATGCAATCACTACTTTGTGATGTACACATTATATTTAATATTTTAAAAATCTGAGTCCAAATGATAATTATTTATTGAATGTTGAGTAGAAAGTTTAATAATGACAGTTTAGGGTCTTGCACTTCCTCTTAATAATATTAATTACATCGATATAATAATGTCTTATTCATCATCTGTGTTCTTAGATAGTCCATGAGTTTACTTCAACCTATTTAGCCTTTTTCCTTGATGCTCAGCACAGACAATAGTATGCATTATAAAGAGTCACTCCAATTTATCAGTAAAATGTTAAAAAAAAATGAAAATCAGTTCAAAGAAAAACATGTACGATAAATAATCAACAATAAATATTAATTGGTGAAGTTTATAAATGTCAAACAATTTTATCTCATTCTTATGTATATAGTAAAGATAGTTACGCATAAATGCTCTGTATCTAATCTTTAGGTGGCTGTCAAGCTAACTGAGGAACAATTTTAGTGACTACAAATGACAAAGAATATAGACTCTGGAAAACAAATGTAGAATGATACTGACATAACAAACCACCATCACCAAAACAAACAGCAATAACGACAAATCCTGGGTGGTGGAAAAATGAAAACTACAATAACTGAAACAAAACATTTACTAGAGGGACTCTATGTACCATTTCAGATGGCAGAGAAAGAATCAATTAACTCGAATATAGGTCAGTTGAGATGATCCAGTCTAAGAAACAAAAAGAAAAATAATATAAAGAAACATGAACAGAGCATCAGAGACTTGTGTAACTACACCATCAAGTGTACCATGTTCATATGGAAATCCCAGAAAGAGAGGAGATATAAAAAAGTGAATACATAACATTTAGAGAAAGAGTGGTTGTAAACATTCCAAATTTGATGAAACAGATATAAATTTAAAATTCCAAGAAACTAAAAAAAAAAAACTTCAACTAGTACAAACCCAGAGTTCTGCACCACCTAGACACATCATAACCAAATTGCGAAGAGCAAGAGCCAAAGAAAATCTTAAGAAAGTAGCAAAACAGAAGAGATAATCATGAACAAAGTATCCTTAATAAGACCGACAAATTCTGAAGAGAAACCTTGGAGGCCTGAAAGCAGTGGAATGACATTCTAAGTGCTAAAAGAAAAAGATGTTACCAAAAATTTTATATATCTAGCTAAACTGCTACTTAAATATGAAGAGAAACTAAGATATTTTCAGATAAATAAAATCTGAGATAATTTACTGCTATCAGATCTGCCCTACAAAAAATTACCAATGGGAGTAGTTTATTTGACAATAAAGGACACCAAATTATAACTGGAAAGCACATGAAGAAATGAAGAAAAATGGCAAAAGTAACTTTATTAGTGCATTTTAAAATATACATATATATAAGGGGGTTTCTTTGTAACTTTTTTTTCCTCCAATTTTATCTTAAAGACAACTGCTAAAGCAATGATTATAAAATTGTGTTTGTGCTGGGCACAGTGGTTGGCTCACACTTGTAATTGCAACACTTTGGGAGGCCGGGGCAGGAGGAATGCTTGAGCGCAGGAGTTCAAGACCAGCCTGGGCAATATAATGAGACCTCGTCTCTAAGAAAAAAAAAATTAAAATTTACTGAGTGTAGTGACATGTGCCTGTGGTCCCAGCTACTCAGAAGACTGAGGTGGGAGAATTTCTTGAGCTTGGGTGGTGGAGATTGCAGTGAATTGAGATTGCACCATTGCAGTCCATTCTGGGTGACAGAGCAAGACTCAGTCTGAAATAAATAAATTAATATATAAATAAATAAACTTTTAAAACGTGATTATAGGCTTATAAAATATAAAGATATACTTTATAGGGCAATTTTAGTACCAAGGAACAGGAGGAAACTATATGAGAACAAATTTTTGTGTAATTAAGTTAGCCATAATCTGAACTAGATTGTCACAAATTTAGATGTTAATTGTAATCCCTAGGGCATCCACTAAGAAAATGACTAATATATATTATAAAGAAATGACAAGGGAGTTAAAGTAATACACTAGATAATATCAATTTATGTAAAATATGGCAGCAATGGAGAGAGGAACAATAAAACCCACTATATCAGTGTGTATGTGTGTGTGTATAATTAAAATGTATATTAATAAACAAATGCATGCATATATAAGTAAAATGACAGACAAATCCTACCTCATCAGTAAATACATTGCATGTAAATGTATTAAACACTCTATTGAAAAGCCGGCAATCAGCAGGATGGATTTTGAAAAAAATGATTTAATTACAAAATGTCTATAAGAGACATACTTGTGATTCAGTGACATGAGCAGTTGTAATATAAAAGGATATAAAGTGATATGTCCTACAAACACACTAAAAAGAGCTGGAGTGGCTGTGTTAATATTAAACAAAATATATTTTAATAGAAAAATTGTTCTTAGCGACAAAGAAAGGCATTTCATAATGATAAAGGTAAAATATATCAGGAAAAATAACAATTAAAAACTTGAAAACACTTAACCACAGAGCCCCAAACTACATGAAGCAAAAGCTAACAGAATTAATGAAAAAATAAATACTAGATAACAATAGCAGAGATTTTAACATCCCATTCTAATAATGGATATAACAACTAAGCAGAAGATCAACAAGAAAATGGACAAGTTGAACAGCATGATAAACCAGTTAGATCTAACAGATATCTACAGACAACTTCAACCAGTTATAGTAGAAAAAGTATTCTTCTTAGGTACACATCTAACAGCTTCCAGGATACATCATACATCATGCTGTGAAAAAAAGCCTCATTAAATTCAAAAGGATTGAATTTATGCAAACTGTTTTCTAACCACAGTACAATACTTGACAAAAACATCACAAGAAAATTACAAATCAATATCACTTAGAAATATAGATCTTAGAGTCCTAAACAGAATACAACTGATACGTACATGCAATAAATAAATTATACCCCTACCTTACACCATATCCAAAATTTAACTCAAAATGAATTATGGACTTGAGTAAAAGAGTTAAATCTATAAAACTCTTAGAGGAATACAGAATTTTAAATCTTTATGACCTTGGATTAGGCAAAGGTTTCTTGTGTATGACACCAAAAACACAGGTAACTAAAGAAGAAATACGTAAGTTAGGCATCACCAAATTAAAAACTTTTGTGCTTTAAAGAACACCGTCAAGGAAGTAAACTGACAACTTACATACAGAAGGAGAGAAAATATTTGCAAATTACATATCTAGTAAAAGTGTAGTACCCAAATTATGTTTAAAAATTATACCTCAGAAATAAGGTAAATTATATTTCAAAATAGACAATGAATTTGACTAAACGTGCTTCCAAAGAAGATATAAAAATGGCCAATAAGCACACAAAAAGATGTTTCATATCATTAGTAATTACGGAAATGCAAACCCAAACCACAGTGAGCTACTACTTTGAACATGCTAGAATGGCTAACATGAAAAAGGCAGATAATATCAGGTCTTGGTGAGAATGTTGAGAAATGAAAGCACTCATAACTTTTGTGTCTGTTTGTGTAGCCATTTATAAACAAAAAGTGGTATATCCATAGATAAAATTGTATCTGGTAATAAAATATGTGCAGTACTGATACTTGCTAAAATTGGTTAATCCTTGAAAACATTATAAGTAAAAGAAGCTGGCTAAAAAGGCCACACTGAATACTGGCATTTATCTAAAACGTCCAGAATAGGCAGATCCATCAAGAGAAAGTACACTGATAGTTGCAAGGATCTGGCCAAGTGTAGGAAAGAGAATGACTGTTTCTTCACAGTGAGTTTTTTGGGGTAGCGATGAAAATGTTCTTTAGTGATCTAGTGGTGCCGATTGGACAACTCTGTGTATATATTAAAATACACTGAATTGTATACTTTCAAAGGCTGAATTTTATGATATATGAATTATATCTTAGTAAAGCTGCTTTTCCAAAAATTCTAAAGTTACAGGCCCATGTAAGGCATAGTAATTCATGAAA
The DNA here is from genome assembly GCF_000001405.40 of Homo sapiens. Lineage (NCBI taxonomy): Eukaryota > Metazoa > Chordata > Mammalia > Primates > Hominidae > Homo > Homo sapiens. The sequence continues at coordinate 37,568,018 of NC_000011.10, forward strand.
ATTTAGAATTGTTTAAAAAGTTTTATTTATATATTTATGCATTGCTCAATCAGCATGCATAAACTTTTTATAGTGTTCAGGTTATGTCTTTCCCTCTTTGGGTCCAGGATCTATTTCTTTAGGTTCTACATTGCCAAAGTGGTATTCTTTGATCATTTTGCATGTCTCAGCATGTCATAAAAAGGTAGTGATGCTGTTATTTATCACGAGCCATGTCTCTTAGGAACTTTTTTCTATTGCAATAGTAGTGATATTCTTGCCTTTGCTGTTAATGAACGCCATTTATATACTGCTGGTTGTATCATTGCTCATGATGCTGTATCACCTCTTTTGCCTCCCATGAATATTGTCTTCCAATGTTTCTATCATATGTTATTTCTTTATTCTTTTAGTGATGACCGAAAGTACAAGTCTTACTCAGAGTATGCAGGAAAATGTGAGCAATACTTGTTTTCTGGTCGTGTTAAATTTAGCAATTGGAATTTGGTAACATAAATATAAAACAATCCATGTTCTTTCCATATCTCAAAAAATACATACATTCTAGGATGTGGACCTTTCCCTAAATTAACCATATCTCCTTCTTCCAAACACTACAATCAGGAAGAAAGACCAGTGAAAAACTGCACGTAGACTGAGAACAGCAGTTTCATTTATACAAACTGTATCCCTCCCTCATCTGGCTTGGCCTCAGATTGACAAAGCAGACCATGATGTCCCAGTTGGAAGTAAGAGAGGACATCACTTGGCTCCCTCCAAAATCCTCAGAAAAGATTAACATAGCTGCCACTAGAGGACTGCCTGACATATGTCCTGATCTTTAAAGAACATGATGACTGTCTTCTATGCAGTGTCAAAGGGCACAGAGAGTAAAGGCCTCCTACCACCATTTCTGCCATCCTTGAGGGCTGTCGTTCAAAGGCAGTACTGCAGTGACAACACTGACAAGTGAGAGTTAACCAACCAGCAAGAACTGATGCATGAGTCTACGTTTATAGCTCAAACCCAAGACATAGTGGATGATTGCTAGCCAAGAACCATGCATTCATCTCTTGTCCGACATGGAAGAGTCACCTAAAATCAGCATGACTGTACCATTCTGCCTGTCCAATTTCATGCAGTTTCACAAAGGAAATATAATGTAAGTCAGAGAAAATGATTCACTTGCGAGTCCGCCTTCTTAAAACTAGAGAATGGCCAGGAGATTTAAAGACAACCTCCCAGGTGCAAGTCCTGGAGCTTGTTAGAGCATCTAGTCAAGTGCACATGTGAGACTGGGGAGTTAGAAGGGTTGGAGAGAGTCTTCAAGGAGTGAAATGGTGACTGAGGCTCACATAGTTTGAAGTGGGATTGGCCACTCATCTTAAATGGCAGGCCAGCCCTATCTCATCTCAGGCACTGAAATGGGATTTATTAATAGAAACTTTTGAGAAAGGCATTCCAAAGAACAGAGGTGAAGTGCCAAGGACAGGATTCTTGTTTGGGTCTAAAGGCAATATTGTTTGAAGTATAAGAATTTTAGATGAAGTTCTAATGTTGCTATTTTAATCCTTTACTTCTCCTTAGAATAGAGGAACAATTATTTCAAGCACTGGACAAGAGTGTGTAGGACTTTAAGGGCAAGGCCTATGATATCTGTGATTCAGATGGTCATGCTTCTGTCTTTGAATATTGGCTAAGTCTGGCTACACCACCTGTCTGATAAACAGGCAAAATGATAAGATGGAATATTTTAACCTTTAATATAGGGGTTTTAACTTTTTTTATGTCAAGTGTTACTTTGGTCAAAGATTCATTTGTGCATATAATAAATTTTTTGAAAAACGTACTCAACTTGAATAAAATAATCCTATGTAGATACCCTCCATATTTGGCCTAGCATTTTGGGAAGGAGTTGTCCTAAGCTCCTGAAGTCTCTTTTGGACCCTAAACTGGACATTAAGAACGTCAATATTTACAGAAACTTGTAATCCCTTTTGCAATATTTGCCTCCATTGCTTGTCAATGAGAAGCTTAAATATTTTTGTCCCTTAATACCTTGACTTTTCTTTATTTTAATTTTTGTTCATGTTTAGAAAGAATTACTTTACTAGAATCATTAAATATTAAACGCTTCTAATTTATTTTCAAAATAATTGAAAGTCCCATTATCTGATAGATTCCAGTTTCTTCTTCTGTCAGCCCTTTAACCTTTTAATTTTAGTCAACATACATTTACTTGGTAACCAGGATATCTTTAAATTGATACCCCTATTTTTTCTTGTTTCTGTGACAGTCAGCACAAATCTCTGCTTCCTAATAAATGCAGTTAGCACATAATAAACTGGTTTATCTAAAGATAATGAAACAAGTTGTTTTATATTGCTTGTTTTAAGGAAAATACTTCTATTATTTTATTTTTTTCTTTCTTTCTTTTTTTTTTTTTTTTTTTTTGAGATGGAGTCTCACTCTGTCACCCAAGCTGGAGTGCAGTGGCATGATGTTGGCTCAATGCAGCCTCTGCCTCCTGGGTTCAAGCAATTCTTTTGCTTCAGCCTCCTGAGTAACTGGGACCACAGGTGCATACAATCACGCCTGGCTAATTTTTGTATTTTTAGTGGAATCTGTGTTTACCATTTTGGCCAGGCTTGCCTTGAACTCCAGACCTCAAGTGATCCTCCCAGCTCAGCCTCCCAAAGTGCTGGGATTACAGGCGTGAACCACCATTCCTGGCTATTAATTTCTTATAAAATCATTTAATCATAACAACATAAGAAACACAATACATTTAAATATACAAAAAATAGTTTAATGACAAATCTTCAAAATTTTAGGAAATATTTTCTGAGTAGCATCTTTTCATTTGGGCTTTAAATAAACATCTTACCTAGTGAGAAACAGAGGATATGGAAACAGAACAAAGTCAGCATCAGCGGCAATAAAAAAGTACACATACTGAGTTTGTAAGATTTCTTTCAAAGTCTTAGAGATGAATAAGAATGAAGAAGATAAAGTAGGCGATCAATAGTGAATTTTAAATCTAACTCTATGAATCATTCTTTTAGCAATTTAGTCAACAATATTGATTGACTCCTAAGGCACAGCAAGCCCTGTGCTAACAGTGGCAAAAACAATATCATCATGACAATTATAATCAAATGTGCAAAAGATATTATTGAAAGAGAAAAACTCAAATAAATTAGAATTTCAACTATGATAAGTGAAATGTTGACAAGGTTCACAATCTTTGTGTGGAAGAATTCAACATGAATCCTATACCACTGTGAGATGGGCATAAATATTTTTAATGAAAATATTACTTAAGAGCTGAAACTTGATGGATGAGAAGATTATGTTAAATTATGAGCAACCTTTCCATTACTCATACTTATCATCACTCCTCCTTAGGAGGAGTGGAAGGTTGTTAAATTATGAGTAATGGAAAGGTCTAGGTTACGATTTCAGAAATAGGTATAATGAGTAGAGTGGTAGGTCATTGAAAAAGCAAGATAAGAAACTGGAAAACCACGTTGTTCATGTTCTTGGATGGTTGATTTATGTAGGCAGTAAAAACCCAGGATCATGACTGTAGCTAAAGTGAAGAATCATATCATTTCCAAAGATGTCAGTAAAGAGGCTGTACTACACAGACTCTAACGGTCACCCCAAATAATTTTCACCTCCTGATACAACCTTGTGTATTCCCCTTCTTTTCAATATTGGCAGGACGTGTAGCTTGCTTCTGACCAAGAACGTACAACATAACAATATGATGTCAAGTACATTATTGAGTTACGTGATCTTATAACATGTTCTTGCTAGCATCTCACTTGCTGGTATTATTGAAGCAAACTGCTATGTTTTGAGCTGCTGTATGGAGAAGTTCATGCAGTGAAAACTGACAGTGGTCTCTGGCTGACAAAAAGCAAAACAATCAAACAAACAAACAGAACAATGCCTTTGTTTCTACAATCCACAAGGGACTGGGCTCTGTCAAGAACCAGATGAGCTTGAAAGTAGATTCTTCCTCGGTCAGGACTTGAGGTGAGACCACAGCCCTGGCTGACACTTTATTGGAGGCATTTGGGAAGACTCAGCTAAACTTTGCCTAGAATTCTGACCCACAGAAACAGGGAGACAAAAATCTTGTGTTGTTTCAAACCACTAATTTTGTGATAAATTGTTATTCAGCATTAGGTAACCAATATAGAGGGTAAGAACTAAGTGGCTACCAAATACAAAAGAGGTGAATCTGGTCATAGCCACATCATTAACATGTCTTTTGATCTTGGAAAAATGACTTAAATTCTTAAAACCTTGACTCCTTACTACTATCCTAGACACTATGACTAATTAATGGCAATGAAATATTTTAAAATTAAAACTGGTTCGTGAGATATACTTATTTTGAACAGGATTTATGAAACTTATACTAATATAAGGTATTAAGCATACATATTGGTCATCATCATCATCATCATAATTATCATGCAATGTATTTCTGGAAACTGTATGGTTTTAATGTACTCAGAAATAATACATGCAAAATGCTTAGCACATTGCCTGGATCTCCTGTGATAATAGCTATTATTATCAGTTCCAAAAGGAAGAAGTATGTCAGATTTGAAGACTATTAGGCAAACCACAAAGTAAAATTGTCTGAATCCTTGTAAGCCTCACAACATCAAGCATGCATACTTTGGCAAATGCTATGCCCCTCATTAAGAGATAATATTTGTATAACATCTACTTGCCATAAATCCCATGTGTCTCATTGGACGTATTACCACTAAAAATTATTAATGCAATCACAATTTTGCAAAATGTTTATCATCTCTAGTAAAACCACTATGTAATTATTATCATTTCATAGCTTAACATTAAGCAGCATTTACCAATTTTGCTGTTAGGGTGATTTAATGGCATGTCAAATCTCTGGAATGGTGAAACACCTTCAGGTATGCAGTATCTTTCATCCACAAATCCCTGCTATTTACAACTATCAAAACATATCATTACAAGCAAAAGGCAGGGAGATAGAAGGGAACAAATACATGCATTATTCATAAACTGTATTTCTCTTCTGCTAGCTTTCTCAAAAATCTTCTTTTCTTTAGGAGATGCCCAGAAGCATCCATTTAGATTAGTTTATTAACAAGATCATTGATCAGAAATCCATGTTGTAAGACATCTTGTTGATCAGCAAGAAAAAAATAAGATACCTATCAGATGTGAAATCTAATATTGTAGCAATACATTAGTAATTACCTCAGTTATGATTTATTAATGTAATAATTCACAAACTTAAAATAAATGTACTTATAATTAACATACATTTTATAAGCCAAAATATACATTCTCAAATATTATCGTAAAGCTATGGGTGTTGATTTTAGGAAAAAGTGATCGTTTCATTGACATTTCAAGGTGACTTTTCTATCTATGATCATTCTTTTTTTTATTAAAGATGAGCATAAAAGGTATTCTCAATTCTAGTTTGCAGATGAGAAAAATGAGGTCAAGTGATTCACTTAAAACTGAAAAGGTATGAGTCCCATGTCTGATTACTAACCATGACCTTTTCCCAATCACTGTGCCAGACTGTATCCTACCTCCTGAAAACTTGTGCCTTGTGGTCAGAAAAAAAAATACTGTTTTATGAACCTCAGTTTTCATGTCAGTAGGTTAAAAAGTATAATACTTATTACCTAGCTGATAATATTAGAATGAAAAACATTGGATCTAAAAAATTTCAGAGAATATACACATTTTAAGTATTAGTATTACTAACATACTCTTAACATTGTAATAAATTAATAGCAATCTCTGTTATTACTATTCTATTCAGAACATGTAAAAATTTCATTAAAACTAGTGCCCTAGAGGATATATATGTTATTGATTTTATGTGTCAGTCCTCATCATAATACATTTTCAAATTAAAAGCTGTTTTCAATAAAATATGCAAATGATTGGAGTCAAAGTAGTTTTTTTGTTCTAATGATGCTGTGTAATTATATTTTCTACAATAAATATATTATCTGGAAAGTGAAGTTATGTAGTAAACATAAATTATGTGAGTTTAGATAATAATCTGAATGAGCAGAAGTATAAAAGCTTTTTCTGCTTTTAATAAAGAAATGTAACAGAGTTCACATCTTTCAACAAAAAACCTAAGATTAAAATACGTTACTTATGTTATGCAATGATTACTTATTAAAATTATGCACTAATTATTTGCAAATTCGTTGATAGTTATTACATATTCAGTTAGGCCTTTCTTTGGACATTTCTTTAGAAATTCCTCTTAAAATTTCTGCAAAACCCTTTTGTATTTGGTCATTGGACTAATTATTAAATTCTGATTTATGAATCACACATTCTAGTTTTTGTTTTCAGTAAGAAAAATTTTTTACAGTTTCCAAAGCAATTACAAACTTCAAAGACCTAAAGAAGGATTGAAAAATTTCCCAGGAGCTGGTACTGCCAGAATGATAGAAAGATGAAAGTGAGTAAGTTGCCCTTATTTTCTATTTTAGGCAGCTCGTACATCAGTTACTTTGCCAAAAATCAGTGATGTGGTCAGTTTCTTATCCAGACACCTGCAAAAGAATTCATTTTAACAGTAACTCTGAATTTCTCCCAAGTATGCCTATTACTCAAGCATTTGTAAAGATTTCTCTGTTTTTCTTTTTGAAGAGAGGAAATACAGTGGTTAAAATATCTGAAATGAACATATTTATTTTGAGTAATAAGCAAGACCAGGGAAACATTCAAGAGTAATGAGACCAAGAAATAAATCTATGACACAAGAGAGTGATTTAATATTTAATAAGACACAAACTCTAGAGACTTTAGTGTTTTGTCTTTAAAATGGGATAGTTTATTTTTAATGGTGAAACAGTCTATGTTACAATGTTAAAACTTCTTATGATGTTGAAAATTCTACGATCTATGACATAGTTAAAAATATATGTTCAGGAAAGTCAGGAACTAAAATTATCCAAGTTTTAATGCAAAGATACCCCTATCTAATACTAGAAAATATTTTTTGTTAGTCACTGAATAATAGTCTCCACCAACCTAATTTGTGGAACTTGTGAATATTTTACCTTAAATGGAAATAGGGTCTTTGTAGATGTGATTAAATTATGGATTTCAAGATGATGATATTATTTTGGATTATCCAGGTAAACCCAAGATAATCATAAGGCTGTTTATCTAAGAGAGTTCGGAAGATTAGAATCAAAGAGCAAAAGGCAATGCAATGATGGAAACAGAGAGGCCAATTGGAAGATGCTATGCTGCTGGCTTTGAAGATGTAGGAAGAGGCCACAAACCAAGGAATTCAGGTAGCTTCTACAAACTGAAAAAAGCAAGCAAGAGTATTTTTTCCTGAATCCTCTAGAGGAAAAGCAGTTCTGCCAACACCTTGAATTTAAATTTTTGACTTCCAGAGCTGTAGAAGAGGAAACTTGTGCTGTTTTACCTTACTAAGTTTGTGGTAAGTTGTTACAGAAGTAATGGAAAACAAATATACTTACGCTAATATGTGGTGATATACCAGAGATGGGTGAATTTAGTGATTTGGAAAATTATAATTTCCACTTGGAATATGTAAAACTGTAATTATCCCTAATTATGATTTTTGACCTGCTATTTTCTAGAATAAATATTTATGATGTGAAAGTTTGAAAAGAAAGATACTCGTGGCAGCCAATGTTTTATAATTCATTTTGTTCACTTTTAAACTTAATTTCCCAGAAATATATATTCATATTTTATAAATTGAAGTATAAAAATATATCAATGAAAATGATTCAACCATATTATGAAAGAAAATCACCAGTGTTTGAACTTATACATGGTTTACTGAGCATTAACAAAATCTGCAAAAAAAATCTTTAAAAGGCTATGGAAAACCATAAACCACATGTTGTTTACCTTAAATGAGCTATTGATGGTGGTTATGTGTTTATTTTTTGGTATGAGATACATTCTGAAAATTCTTCATTTTTCTCTCAATAAGAGAGCATTTCAATTGGTCTAAGATACAATATTTATTAGTATTCAGCAGCATAGATTTTGGCTGGACCTGGATTGTCTGTCACCAAATCCTAAGTGTGTGGCTTAGGGAATTTTAGCTATCCTATGCTGTACATACTCATATATAAAACATAGTTTAAAATAATGCCTTTTCATGAGGATCACATGAATTAATATATGTAGCACATCAATTAGTACCTAAGACAGTATAGATAAAGTTTGTGTGTTAGCTATTTTATTTCTGCTCTTATATGATCCCTGAGTAGTTCAAGTGGCAACAAGTTTTTACTTTATCATTTACAAATACAGTTGTGTACTCCATTAAAAGACTGGTATACATGTTCCATTGTAAATTGTTGTATTCCTTAATCTCCAAGAAGATCTACAGAATCTCCTTTAATTTCTATCTTACTTTTCCTAAAAAAAGGTTTAATATTAAAAAAAGCAATTCCTGTAGGAACACAGCTGTATTAAGAACTTTTCCCTCTTTATTTTTAAAGTAGCTTGTCTTATTAAAATACAAGATATTTTTTAATTGGATGATTAGAATTTTTTAAAGACGGTTCAACTTTGAAACATAAGATTTCTTAATTTGTTTTTTAATAGAGGAGAGTCAAAAAGCAGCTTTCTCAGCAGGTTTAAATTTTGAGATTTCAGTGAAAATTTATTCTTAATTGTTTAAATATAATGAGAATTTTTAAGATTTTTATTTTTAAACACTCAGTACTCGCACCTCTGCAACTTTGAGTTGGTTTCAAACCACTCAAAATAAGTGTTTAAAAATGAAAATAATTGTTAGGATTTCCTAACAATGACAAGTGTCATTACCTGATTGTCATAAGATTGAAACTCTTGGTTTAAAATCAAAACGCAAGATGAAAGTTTGAGTTGTTTGGCCTGGCGCAGTGGCTCACGCCTGTAATCCCAACACTTTGGGAGACCGAGGCAAGTGGACCATGAGGTCAAGGGATCGAGACCATCCTGGCCAACATGGTGAAACCTCATCTCTACTAAAAATATAAAAATTAGCTGGGCATGGTGGTAAACACCTGTAGTTCCAGCTACTTGGGAGGCTGAGGCAGGAGAATCACTTGAACCTGAGAGGCAGAGGTTGCAGTGAGCCAAGATGTGACCTGAATGCCTATGTCAATGTTCTGGAACTAGAAAGAAGTATCTGAAAATAGAATATATCTCTCCCACTCTCCAGCCCCATGCTTTCATACAAAAAATCTCTCCCCAAATGAGACACAACCTTTTGGGGAGTTGTCAGCAACCCTAAACTCCATGGGAGCTTATTATAAACATTAATAACTGATACAGTTTGGCCATGTCCCCACCCAAATTTCACCTTGAATTATAATAACTTCCATGTGTCATGGATGGGGCCAGGTGGAGATAATTGAATCACAAGGGTGATTTTCCACATACTGTTCTGGTGATAGTGAATAAGTCGCATGAGATCTGATGGGTTTATAAATGGGAGTTCCCCTGCACAAGCTGTCTTGCCTGTCACCATGTAAGATGTGCCTTTGCTCTTCCTTTGCCTTCCACCATGATTGTGAGGACTCCCCAGCCATTTAAAACTGTGAGTCCATTAAAACTTTTTTTTTATATAATTATCCAGTCTCAGGTATGTCTTTATTAGCAGTGTGAAAATGGACTAATACAACAACATATATAAAAATGAGTATCAGTAACCAGAAAAAGTCTTTTCTTGCTCACCTGGAGTCATGGGCTAATATTTGTAGCTGCTACATAAAAGCGATAACTCACAGCTCTGCAATTTTGAATTTGGCCCATTTAGTCAATTAAACATATCATTAAGCCATACATGCTACTGTAACAATTTTAATGATAGATATTCAGATTTGTCAGCAAGAAAATTAAAGAGTTTGTAGCAAACGAAACCATCAGCAAAGTGAAGAGTCAATTTATCCGATGGAAGAAAATATTTGCAAACTATTCATCAAACAAAGGGCTGATATCTAGAATACAAGAAATTCAAGCAACTCAACAGGAAGAAAAATAATCACATTAAAACGTGGGCAAAAGACATGAATAGACGTTTCCCACAATAAGACATACAAATAGACAATAGGTATATGAAAAAATGTTCAACGTTATTAATCATCAGGGAAGTGCAAATCAAAACCACAATGAGATAGCATCTTACCTCAGTTAAAATGGCTGTCATTAAAAACACAAACATAACAAATGCTGGTGAGGATGCAGAGAAAAGGGAGATTTTTTTATGCACTGCTGGTAGTAATGGAAATTAGTACAGCCACTATGGAAAACAGCATGGCGATTTCTTAAAAAATCTAAACATAGAATTACCACTGTCATGCACATCTGGGTAAAGAGACCACCAAACAGGCTTTGTGTGAGCAATAAAGCTGTTTATTTCACCTGGGTGCAGGTGGGCTGAATCCGAAAAAGGAGTCAGCAAAGGGAGATAGGAGTGGGGCAGTTTTACAGGATTTGTGTAGGTAGTGAAAATTACAGTCAAAGGGGTTGTTCTCTGGTGGGCAGGGGCAGGGGTCACAAGGTGCTCAGCAGGGAGCTTCTGAGACTCATTGTTCAACAGAATGAATTTCACAAGATAATGTCATCAGTTAAGGCAGGAACCAGCCATTTTCACTTGTTTTGTGATTCTTCACTTGCTTCAGGCCATCTGGATGTATACGTGCAGGATTGGGCTCTGAAGCCTGACATTCCTGTCTTCGTATATTAATAAGAAAAATAAAACAAAATAGTGGTTAAGTGTTGGGGGGTGGTATGGAGAGATAATGGGCAATGCTTCTCAGGGCTGCTTTGAGCGGGATTAGGGGCCACATGAGAACCTGGAGTGGGAGAAATTAAACTGAAGAAAGACTTGGGGTAAAGGGTGATATTGTGGGATTGTTAGAAGGAGCATTTGTCATGTAGAATGATTGGTGATGGCCTGGATGCGGTTTTGTATGAATTGAGAAACTAAACGGAAGACAGAAGGTCCAAGTAAGAGAAGGAGAAAAATAGGTATTAAAGGGCTAAGAATTGGGAGTACCCAGGACATCAAATTAGAGAGTGTCCAAGGGGGTTCAGCATAATTATTTGCTTGGTTGGCGAGTTTTGGGGCTTTATCCTTGAGTTTTTTTATGTTGTCATATACCAGGCCAGATTGATTTAGGTAGAAACAGTGTTCTTCATTTAAAAATATACAGTCTTCGTTTTTCAGCAGTGAGAAAGTCAAGGCCTATTCCTGTCTTCTTATATTAATAATAAGAAAAACAAAACAAAATAGTAGTGAAGTATAGGTGTCATGAGGGGGAACAGGAAGCTGTTTGGTCCTATTCGCAAACTGATTTTGGGGGGTAAGGAAAACTAGTGTACATGTGCCTGTCCAGTTAACAGGTAGACACATGTAGGTGGAGGAGCCACAGAGGAAGAAGAGACCTTGTGTAAGGCAAAACTGAAAATGTAAAGTGGGTGAAAGAATTGGAGTGTGCCTTCCCAGCAAAAGGCATCTATCCACTCCAAGAGGGAGTTAAGAGTGGGTAAGACCAGGGAATAAGGTCTTAGTGGATAAGACCAGGACCAGCTATGATGGTTTGGAGAAAAAGCACAAGCTGGCAGTGTAGACAAGGGCAGGGCATTTATGGATAGGTGAGAATGAAGAATAGGAGTATGACTAGACAGAAGATAGCAGGGAAGAAATTTTTTGGGATGCACTCTAAGTAGTGGGGGTGAATGCGTAAAGCCCTGTTGCAAGAGCAGGGTAAGGAAGAATAGACTTAACAAAATAAAATTATGTATAGAGGTGACAAGGCCAAACTGAGGAATTATGTCTGACAGAAGGGAAAAAATGACCACAGACCCTGTGGGAAAGGCCTCTACCTAACCAGTGAAAGTGTCTTCCCAGATGAAGAGGTATTTTAGTTTCCTGACTCGGGGCAAGTGAGTAAAGTCAATTTGCCAGTCCTTGGCAGGGGCAAATCCTCGAGCTTGATGTGTAGGGAAGAGAGGGGGCCTGAACAATCCCTGAGGTGTAGTAGAATAGCAGATGGAACACTGAGAAGTGATTCCCTTGAGGATAGATTTCCACAATGGAAAGTAAACAAGAGGTTCTAAGAGGTGGGCTAGTGGCTTGTAACCTATGTGGAAGAGGTTATGAAGTGACAACACAATAGAATGGGCTGTGAGGCTGGAAGGAGATATTTTCCTTTGTCCAAGAACCATTTGCCTTGAGTAAGGAGGGATTGATAGGTGGAAACTTCAGTGGGAGAGTAAGTAGGAGTGACTGATGAGGAGAAAAACTGGCTGTGAGGGATAGAATTAGGAATGCTAGCTGCTTCTTTAGCTACCTTATCAGCATAAGCATTGCCCTGAGCGATGGGATCTGATGCCTTTTGATGGCCCTTGTAGTGAATGACTCCAGCTTCCTTTGGAAGTAAAGTGGCCTTGAGAAGAGTTTTTATTAAAGAGGCATTAATGATGGAGGATGCTTGCATAGTGAGGAAACCTCTTTCAGCCCATATAACAGCATGGTGGTGCAGGATATGGAAGGCATATTTAGAGTCAGTGTAAATATTGATGCATAGTCCCTTTGCATGTGTGAAGGCCCAAGTTAAAGGAATGAGTTCAGCTGGCTGAGAGGTAGTGGAGTGGGGCAGAGTGGTAGCCTCAATGATGGATGTGGAAGACACTATAGCATAGCCTGCCTTTGCCGGTGATTGGTGATTGGGCCTGGAAGAACTACCTTCAGTAAACCAAGTGTGGTCTGTGTGGGCAAAAGGAAAGAGGGAAATATGGGGAAATGGGGAGAATGAATGGTTTAGTTGGGATGGCAAAACCAGGTATCCAAAGGTGGAAGTACCTAACTATGCCTAGGAAGGAAAGGAGTTGTTTTGTAGCAGGGGTTAGGGTTTGGGAGATTAGCTGGAGATGATCAGCAGGGAGAGCACATGTGTTTTCATGAAGAATTATGCTGAGACAGGTAATGGATGAGGAAGAAATTTGGGTTTGACTGAAGTAATGGGGGCTGTCCCCGAAGCCTTGCAGCAGTACAGCCCAGGTAAGTTGCTGAGGCTGATGGGTGTCAGGGTCAGTCCAAGTGAAAGCAAAGAGAGGCTGGGATGAAGAGTGCAATGGAATAGTAAAGAAAGCAGGTTTGAGATCCAGAACAGAATAATGGGTTGTGGAGGGGTTGTGGAGTGAGGTATTGAGGATAGGGAAGTATAGGGGTTTAGCACCACGAGGTGGATAGGCAAGACAGTTTGGTTGATAAGACACAGATCCTGAACTAACCTGTAAGACTTGTCCAGTTTTTGGACAGGTAAAATGGGGGAATTGTAAAGAGAGTTTATAGGCTTTAAAAACCCATGCTGTAGCAGGTGAGTGATAACAGGCTTTAACCTTTTTAAAGCCTGCTGTGGGACGGGATATTACCATTGAGTGGGGAAAGGGTGATTAGGTTTTAATGGGATGATAAGGGGTGCATGATCGTTTGCCAAGGTAGGAGTAGAGGTATCTTATTCTTGTGGATTAAGGTAGGGAGACACAAGGGGAGGATGTGAAGGAGGCTTCAAACTGGGGAAAAGGGCAGCAGTGAGGTGTAGCTGTAGTCCAGGAATAGTCAGGGAAGCAGATAATTTAGTTAAAATGTCTCGACCTAATAAGGGAGCTGGGCAGGTAGGGATAACTAAAAAGGAGAGTATAAAAGAATGTTGTCCAAGTTGGCAATGTGGAGTGGGTAGCCTCCATATTGATGAAGAAGGGGATGGACTTACCTTTCACTGTAAGAGTTATCCAAAGCTTCTGTGATGGTCTTGTAGGTTTCTGAGGCGATTGGACAGTGTCAGTCTTCAGCTGCTAAGCTGAGAAGATCTGGGAAGTCAGTCAGAGAGCCTTGGGCCAGAGTTCCAGGGCATCTCAGAGTGGCTGCCAGGCGAGTTGGACAGTCTGATTTCCAGTGGTGTCCTGCACAGATGAGACATGGCTTAGGAGGAATCCCAAGCTGCGAGCATTCCTTAACCCAGTGGCCAGATTTTCGGCACTTGAAGCAAGATCTTGGGGGATGAGGTCCTGGAGGAACACCTGGCTGCTGCGATTTAGGCATTTTGAAGTTCTTGTGTGCTGAAGATGTGGCTGGGGTTTCTCTTACAGCAGAGGCAAGTAATTGCAACTTTTCTCTATTATTGTACACCTTGAAGGTGCATTGGGAGCAGAGACTAGGGAAGGACCAATGTGTAAAAAAATGCCTGGACATCAGGCACCTCAAACCATTTGCCCATTTTATGACAATAATTATCTAGATTCTGTAGGATGGAAAAATCAAAAGTGCCATTTTCTGGCTATTTGGAACAATTGTTGAGTTTGTATTGGGGTCAAGTGGTATTGCAGAAGAAATTAAGGCATTTAGGTTTTAAGTGTGGTGTGAGTTGAAGAGGTTTTAAGTTCTTGAGAACAGAGGCTAACAGAGAAGAAGGAGGAATGGAGGGTGGAAGTCTGTCCATAGTGAAGGAGGCAAGCCCAGAGAAAAGAGAGGGTATAGGCATGGGGGGGGTACTTGCCCCCCAAGGTGAGGTGGTGCTTGCCACCAAGGTGAAGGATCAAAGCAAGCGTCCCCTTGGTGATCAGACACCTCTGAAATGTGGTTGAATAATCAGGTAGGCGTCCCCGCAGTGATTAAACACCAAGGGAAGACTGTCTTCCCAAGTCCATGACCGGCGCGGGACTTCTGGGTTCATGGATAAAATGCATCTCTGTCTCTACCAGAAAAGAAAAGGAACTGAAATTAAGGGAAGGGAGAGATTGAAGGGTGATGCCAAAATTGAAAAGAGAAAGAGGTTGAGGGGTAGTGAGACAGGTTAGAGAAGAGAGTAAAAAGAGGCAGCTTACCTGATTTAAATTTGGTGAGATGTTCCTTGGACTGGTTGGTCTGAGGACCCAAGGTCATAGGTGGATGTTTCTCATGGAGCAGGAAGACAGGGGATTGATCTCCCAAGGGAGGTCCCCTGATCCAAGTCATGGCACCAAATATCACACACATTCATGTGAAGAGACCACCAAACAGGATCTGTTTGAGCAATAAAGCTATTTATGTCACCTAGGTGCAGGCGGGCTGAGTCTGAAAAAGGAGTCAGTGAAGGGAGATGGGGTGGGGCAGTTTTATAGGATTTGTGTAGGTAGTGGAAAATTACAGTCAAAGGGGTTGTTTTCTGGTGGGCAGGGGCGGGGATCACAAGGTGCTCAGCAGGGAGCTTCTGAGACTCATTGTCCAGGAGAAGGAATTTCACAAGATAATGTCATCAGTTAAGGCAGGAACCAGCCATTTTCACTTCTTCCTGATAACCACATAATTTGGCAATCACTTAACTGTATTTATCCAAAGAAAAATAAGTCACTATAACAAAGGGATATCTACACTGGCAAGTTCATTGTACCACTGTTCACAGCAGCAAATATATGGAATCAATCTGAATGTTCAAATGAATGGATAAAGAAAATATGGTATATATACACAATGAAATACTATTCAGCCACAAAAAGGAATAAAATCATGTCATTTTCAGCTATATAGAAGGAACCACAGGTCATGTTACGTGAAATAAGCCAGGCACCAAAAGACAATTATCACGTGTACTCACTCATATGTGGGGACTAAAAAAAGTTGATCTCAAGGTTAGGAAGGTTTGGGGTGTGGTGGGAGGATAAAGAAAAGTTGATTAATGGGTACAAACATACAGTTAGCTAGAAGGTGTAAGTTCTAGTGTTTGATAGCAAAGTAGGGAATAGTTAATTATAATATATTGATATTTCAAAGTAGCTAGAAGATAAGACTTGAAATGTTCCCAACACATAAAATGATACATACTTAAGGTGTTGGATATCCCAAATACCTTGACTTGATTATTACACATTTTATGCATGTAACAAAATATCACAGGTAATATATAAATATGTAAAATATTATGTATCAATGAAAAAGAATTTAAAAGAAAAATATTAAGGTATTTTATCTGAAATGTTAATTATAGAGGCTTGACTTCTCTCAGTAATTTAGTGAAAATAAATACATACATACATAAATACACAAATAAATAGAAATTCTGGAATGCATTACTATCTTGATTGCAAACAAGTATGCATACTGAAATAAGTGTGGTATTAAGTTGTACTCATTTGAAAGCTGTTGGAGCCCAGGCAGGGTGGCTCACACATGTAATCCCAGAACTTTGGGAGGCCAAGGCCGGCAGATCAGGAGGTCAGGAGATTGAGACCATCTTGGCTAACGTGGTGAAACCCTGTGTCTACTGAAAATACAACAAAAATTAGCTGGACATGGGGGCACACGCCTGTAGTCCCAGCTACTTGGGAGGCTGAGGCAGGAGAATTGCTTGAACCTGGGAGGTGGAAGTTGCAGTGAGCAGAGATGGTGCCCCTGCACTCCAGCCTGGGCAACAGAGTGAGACTCCATCTCAAAAAAGAAAAAAAAAAAGCTGTTGGAATTGTTTTAATAGCTCATGCCTCTAAGTGCAACAAAAATGAAAAGACTGCATTTTGACAATAGCTTTTATGTGAGCTTCTCTTTGTGAGGTTTTACTTGCTATTGCTATCAGGCATCACTGCTTACTTAATAAATAATGTTAATAAATGATTTAGCACACATTCATTTACTTTTGTTTATGCATCACATATTTTTTAAAAGCTAATTAATCTGTCTTATATTCATCATTACACATATGTGAAGCAAACACATGGAAAAAATAAAAGAAATATCCCTAGATTTATCCAATTGAATTATAATTATTTTGAGTAAATTTAACCTTTATTTCTTACAACCTTCTAAATTATATATTTTAGCAATCTACTTTTGTATAATATTTGTAAAACTAACAATAATATTTACGTGTTATTTCATGCAAGAACATTAATTAACTGTTACGTTTTAGGATTTGGCCTCAGCATCTAGTTTAGTAAGTGGTGCACGTAGACCTCTTTGACTTGTTTTTGACCTTACAGAAAAAGCACTACGTCTTTCTTCATTAAGTAAGGCGCTAGCTGTATGGTTTTCATAGATTTTCTTTATTAAGTTAAGAATGTTATGTGTTATACCTGGTTTGCTAAGAGTTTTTAGTAGGAAATGAACTTGAATTTTGTGCAAATATTTTATTTTGCATCTTTTTGTATGATCATATATTTAATTTTATTCTGCTAATACCATGACTGACAATGATTAATTTTCAAATTTTAAACAAACTTTGCATTCCTGGGATAAATTCCACTTGGTCATAGTGTATTATCTTTATTATACATTTTTTTATTCTATTTGCTGTAATTGGTCTTAATTTTTGCATCTATGTTTATGTGAAATGCTCAAATGTAGTTTCCCATAATGTCCGTCTTTTGAATTAAAGAAATGTGGACATGAAGATATGAAGTGGGAACTATCATCTTTCTTCCAAATCTTTGCAAAATTTGTGGATAGTATTATTTCTTAAATAATGGTTAGAGTTAACCAATGAATTCATCTGAATCTGAAGTCTCTGCAAAAGAAGGATTTCGATTATACATTTATTTTTATCAATATAGTGCCCTTAAGATTCTCTATTACTTCTGGGTGAGTTTTGGTAGTTTGTATCATTTACACAATTTCATTTCATTTAAATTGTCAAATGCCTTTGTATAAAGTTGTTCAGAATATTTTCTTATCACCCATTTAACATTTGTAGATTGTATGGTAGTCAACTCTTCAATCACTGATATTGGAATTTTTATACTCTTATTTCTAATCAAGTTGGTCAGATAGTTATCAATTTTATTGATCTTTTCAGAGAAATTGTTTTTCATTTTATTATTTTCTGTTTTCTATTTCATTGATGTTGACTCTTCTATTAATTTCTTCACTCATATTTTGGGTTTTCTTTGCTCCTCTTCTACTGGTTTCTTAAGGTGGATACTGAGATCATTCATTTGAGAATTTAATCTTTTCTAATGTAAATGTTTACTGCAATGAATTTCCTTCTTATACTGCATTAG
The DNA here is from genome assembly GCF_000001405.40 of Homo sapiens. Lineage (NCBI taxonomy): Eukaryota > Metazoa > Chordata > Mammalia > Primates > Hominidae > Homo > Homo sapiens. Next base: position 37,586,063 of record NC_000011.10, read on the forward strand.
CTTTATTATGCAAAATTTGCAGGTAATTTTGCATTTTCATAGATGTGTTGCATTTTTATTTGTATTTAATTTAAAATAAATTTTAATTTTGCTTTTGAGATTTTCTTTGACGCATTGATTATTTGCGTAAGAGTTATTCAGTTTGCACATATGTATTTGTTTTTCCAGATATCTTTTTGGAATTGCTTTCTGGTTTAATTTTATTGTGTTCATAGTACATAGTTTGTATAATTTAGAACTTTTTAAACTTGTCAAGACTTATTTTATAGTTTTAAGTAGGTTTTATCATGGTAAATGGTCCATATACACTTGAAAAAAATGAACATTTTGCCATTATTGGATGGAAATTTCTATAAATATATATCAACCACTAGCAAGTTGGTTGATAGTGTTGCTAAACTTCTACATACTTACTGATTTTTTAAAAATCCTTTTTATAACAAATACCAGCAGAGGTGTTAAAATCTCTGACTTTATTTGTAGAATTGCCTATTTCTCCTTATTGTTCTACAGCTCTTGTTTTATGAATTTTGAACTTCTGTTATGATATATATATAATAATTTAGGTTTGTTCAGGTCCTGTTGATAAATGGACTGCATTATGATTATAAAATTCACCTTTTAAAGCCCTGGTAATATTCTTTCCTCTGTAATCAACTTACTTTGATATTAATATAGCCCCACCACCTCTTCTTTTGCTGATTTTAGGATTTTCACTTGTTTAAGCAATTTTATTGTGGCCTGCTTGTATTTGATTTCATTATGATTTTTTTTTTTTTTTTTGAGATGGAATCTCACTTTTGTCACCCAGGCTGGAATGCAATGGCGCAATCTAGGCTCACTGCAACCTTCGCTTCCCTGGTTCAAACGCTTCTCCTTCCTCAGCCTCCAGAGTAGATGGGATTACAAGTACCTGCCACCATGCCTGGCTAATTTTTTTGTATTTTTAGGAGAGACAGGGTTTTATCATGTTGGACAGGCTGGTCTTGAACTGCTGACATCAGGTGATCTGCCCTCCTCATCCTCCCAAAGTGCTGGGATTACAGGCATGAACCAAGGTGCCCAGCCTAATTTCATTATGTTTCTTAAGCTTGGGGTTTGTTGAGTTTCTTAGATCTGTGGCTATACAATTTTCATCAAATTGGTAACTGTTCTTGAAATACCAACTTGAATAATGCTTTTAATAAATGATTATTTTTATTTTTAATAAATTTTATTTTAATAATTTTTTATAAAAGCATTCATTTTATTTTTTCCTGTTCATCCCCTATTGGAATCTCCTATTTTACAATATTAGGTAGGCTATGTGAAGTTGTTTCACAGCTCACTGGTAATTTGTTAATTCGTCTATTCTTCATTGTGTGATTTATTTTGAGTAGTTTCTTTTTCCTTGTTTTCGTGCTCACCAAACATTTTTTTTTGCCATGTTTAATCATCCTAATGCCATTAATTATATTTTTTACTTCAGACATTCTAGTTTTCATTTCTAGAAGTTTAGCTTGTTTTTTTTTTTTTTTTTAATATATATCTTCTATGCTTCAATTTAACATGTTTAATCTTTCCTTTTGGATTTTTTTTCCATTGGTGCCATTATAATAAAAAGTATCCACTAATTCTAGTATCTGTATAATTTCTGGGTAAATTTAATTGATAATTTTTTTCTCTCCTTTGTTACGGGAAGTCAGGGACCCCGAATGGAGGGACCGGCTGGAGCCGCGGAAGAGTAACATAAATTGTGAAGATTTCATCTTAATATGGACATTTATCAGTTCTCAAATAATACTTTTATAATTTCTTATGCCTGTCTTTACTTTAATCTCTTAATCCTGTCATCTTCATAAGATGAGGATGTACGTCACCTCAGGACCACTGTGATAATTGTGTTAACTGTACAAATTGATTGTAAAACGTGTGTTTGAACAATATGAAATCAGTGCACCTTGAAAAAGAACAGAATAATAGCGATTTTTATGGAAGAAGGGGAGACAACCATAAGGTCTGACAGCCTGTGGGGTCGGGCAAAAAGAGCCATATTTTTCTTCTTCAGAGAGCCTATAAACAGACGTGCAAGTAGGAAACACATCACTAAATTATTTTCCTAGCAAGGAATATTAATATTAATACCCTGAGAAAAGAATGTGTTCCTGGGGGGAGGTCTATAAACAGCCACTCTGGGAATGTCTGTGTTGTGCAGTTGAGATAAAGACAGATACGCCCTGGTCTCCTGCAGAACCCTCAGGCTTACTAGGGTTGGGAAAACTCAGCCCTGGTAAATTTGTGGTCAGACTGATTCTCTGCTCTCAAACTCTGTTTTCTGTTATTTAAGATGTTTACCAACACAATACATGCACCGCTGAACATAGACCCTTATCAGTGGTTCTGCTTTTACCCTTTGCCCTGTGATCTTTGTTGGACCCTTATCAGTGGTTCTGTTTTTGCCCTTTGCCCTGTGATCTTTGTTGGACCCTTATCAGTGGTTCTGCTTTTGCCCTTTTCCCTGCTCTCTCAGAAGCATGTGATCTTTGTTAGACCCTTATCAGTGGTTCTGCTTTTTGTTGTTTTGAAGCATGTGATCTTTGTACCTACTCTTTGTTCTTACACCCCCTCCCCTTTTGAAATCTTTAATAAAAACTTGTTGGTCTAAGACTCAGGTGGGCATCACAGTCCTACTGATATGTGATGTCACCCCTGGCGGCCCAGCTATAACATTCCTCTCTTTGTACTGTCTCTCTTTATTTCTCAGCTGGCCGACATTTATGGAAAATGGAAAGAACCCACACTGAAATATTGGGGGTGGGTTCTCCCAATACTCATTATGGATTTCCTCTTTACATGACTGTTAAGTTTTGTTAAGCTACCAAGCAATTCTGCTTCAGCCTCCTGAGTAGCTGGGATTACAGGCATGCGCCACCATGCCCGGCTAGCTTTGTATTTTTAGTAGAGACTGGGTTTCTCCATGTTGGTCTTAAAACTCCTGACCTCAGGCGATCCACCCACCTCGGCCTTCCAAAGTGTTGGGATTACAGGCATGAGCCACCGCGTTCAGCATAACATTCTTAATCATTACTATGGAACATTGTTAAGTTAATAGGAAAGAGTCTTGCTTTTAATCTTCTAAGACAATATCAGCAGCGTTTATTTTAGCTTTTTTTTTTTGCCTATTGTTGAGACAAAACTCTTTCTAACTGCTCTACCCAGTACTATTTCAATTATTGGACTTTACATTCTGTTTGGTGGGAATCACTTTCCTTTGTTGCCTCATCCAATGTCTTGCAAGCTACTCTCTCATAGGCATGTTTTTTCTTTTTATTCTGTTTTTTGGTTTTTTTTTTTTTTTTTTTTGTCTTTTCAGATGGGAGGTACCAGGGGAAATTCCTGCCCTCTTATTACATCTAAGCCAAAATTATTGAGTCAAAAATGTTTTCTAGCAACAGAAACTCTCAGCCATTGCTGATAGGAATGCAAAATGGTACAGCCACTTTGAAAGACAGTTTGGCAGTTTTTTACCAAACTAAACATATTCTTACCATATGGTCTAGCAATCATATGGTAAGCATTCCACTGTATTTACTCAAAGGAGTTGAAAACTTGTGTTCACACAAACATTTTTATGTGAATATTTATAGCAGCTTTATTCATAATTGCCAAAACTTGGAAGCAACCAAGATGCCCTTCAATAGGTGAATGGATAAAATAAACTGTGGTACATTCAGACAATGAAATATTATTTAGTGCTATAGAGAAATGCGCTATCAAGCCATGAAAAACACATGGAGGAAACTTAAATGCATGTTACTAATTTAAAGAAGCCAATCTAAAAGGACTACATACTGTATATTTTCGACTATGTGACTTTCTATAAAAGGCAAAATAACAGAGACAGTAAAAAGATCAATGATTGCCAGGGGTTTAGCAGAGAGGGAGAAGTTAATAGGCAGAGGACAGAGAATGTTTAGGGCAATGAAAATACTCTGAACAATACTATAATGGCAGATACATGTCATTATACAAACCCAAGCCCGTAGAATGTACAACACCTAGAGTAAACCCTGATGTAAAATACAGACTTTGCGTGATTATTAAGTGTTAATATAGGTTCATTAATTGTGACAAATTAATTGTGTTAATTGTGACACTCTGAAAAGGATCTTAATAGTGTGGGAGGTTATGCATGTGTAGGGTTCGGGGGGCATATGGAAAATCTTTGTACCTTCTGCTCAATTTTGCTATGAACATGAAATTCTTCTAAAAAATAGTCTATTAAAATGTCTTTTTTGCATTGTTAAAAAAATAGAACTCATAATTTTTTGTTGAATATATAGGAAGTTCTGTTTTCTAATTTAGTGTGTTTTGTTTCAAGATAATCTTTAATTTGTAGGGGTATAAAACTATTTTGCAAAACCCAAGAGCTTGTTAAGTCCTATCACAATATTTTGCATATTTGGTGAACATTTTTGGCATATTGTTTTAATGCTGTTTCTGATTTGATTGGGTTTGATATGTTCAGATGGTGATTATTATTTTATGACTAGACATTTCTTCTTTAGCATTATTTAAAAGCTCTTTAGAAATAAAAGGCCATACAATTACAACCTCTTCAAAAATGTAAAGTCATACTCTGAAACTCTTTGTACCCTCAAATTATTTTAAAAGCTGTAAGCATTCACTGTGTGGTAGCAGGACAACTGCTAAACAATGTCAAGTACTGAACAGATGTTTCTGAATCTTATAAGTGTTTTTACCATGGCTGATAAATATAATATATATATATTTTTAAGATGGAGTCTTGCTCCGTTGCCAGGCTGCAGTGCAGTGGCATGATCTTGGCTTGCTGCAACCTCCGCCTCCCTGGTTCAAGTGATTTTCCTGACTCTGCCTCCCAAGTAGCTGGGACTACAGGCGTGTGCCACCACACCTGGCTAATTTTTGTATTTTTAATAGAGACAGGGTTTTACCATGTTGGCCAGGATGGTCTCAATCTCCTGACCTTGTGATCCACCTACCTGGGCCTCCTAAAGTGTTGGGATTACAGGTGTGAGCCACCACACTCAGCCAATATTCATTTTTAAAAAACATCTTAGACTAACAAAGGGTAAAAACATTTATACCATTTTAAAATATAATCCCATTATTTATAGTCTAAAGATAAAATAAAATATTGAAGGCATCTGATATTTGCAAAGACAATTGTGTATTTTTAAATTAAAATGTATAAAATATTTATGTACTTAAATATTTATAAAATATTTATGTGCTAATTTGAATCATTGGTTTTGGGTAATCTTTGGAACATCTTAGTAAGAGTATAGATTTCCACAGATTATAGATAAAATCATGACCTTGGCATTTACAGTCAATTACACAATGGCTTGTCAAAAAGTTTTAGTATGTATCTTAAATCTATTCTGTTATTTTATTTATTCATTTATTTGTTTGTTTGTTTGTTTGTTTGTTTTTGAGATGGAGTCTCCCTCTGTGGCCCAGGCTGGAGTGCAGTGGAGCAATCTCGGCTCACTGCAACCTCAGCCTCCTGGGTTCAAGAGATTCTCCTGACTCAGCCTCCTAAGTTGCTGAGATTACAGGCTCATGCTACCACGCTCAGCTTATTTCTGTATTTTTTAGTAGAGATGGGGTTCACCATGTTGGCCAGGCTGGTCTCAAACTCCTGACCTCAGGTGGCCTCCCAAAGTGTTGGGATTATATGTGTGAGCCACCCACACCTGGTCTATTCTGTTATTTTTTGAAGCAGAATTTCTCATCTTCATTAGGATGTGTGACTTGAACATATTTGAGATGAGAGGGAGAGATAAAAACATACAACAAAAATATTTTAATGCAAAGACAATTACTTATAAAAATAAAAGAGAATAATTGAGTTTTGTCATTGAATATTTTGATGTTGTAAACCTAACTTAACTCTTTGCCTAATTTTCCACGAAGATTTAGTTCTAATATATTTGAGGGCTTTTTATTATTTTCTTGTAAAGGTTGATGGAGAAGAAATTATTGAAGTTCATATCTTTGAACTACTACTGTTTGAGGAGAATAAAAAATCACATATTCCTTTGAGACACCTGTCTCATTAACTTCAGTATGGATTTTGTCAGCATGAAGCCTGTATGATTAGGCATTAAAATTAATTTCATAAGAAGCTCAAGCAAAATTAGATTTCACATGGGTTTATTTTGGCAAAGTATTTTTCATCAGGGCTTTGGGGCCATTTACAAGAAGTGTTGGGATTTTTAGTGCATGTAACTGATGTACAATATAAATAATTTTTATCATAAAATCATTTGCGTGTATTACTTTTAATAATCACTAGATATTGACATATATGACTGATTCAACAGAGTATATGTTGATCCAAGCTCTTAAAATGAAAGAAAAACAAATATAATGTTTTTTCTAGGACCTATTAATTCATACCTCCATATTCTAGTACTGCATATATACCTAAAAATGTTTTGATGGTGGATTCTTAAATTTTTAAACATTTCATTATTATTAAGACACGATCAATAACTTTCAAATATGCAAGGTTCATAGATTATGACCATGTGAATATTTCATGGTTTTATATATATATATATATATATATATATATATATATACACACAATATATGAATATATTATAACCATTGACTAAGTTAGTATTTAAAATGCAATATGATACATTTGGCTCAAGTTCAAGACACAATCTCTACTTTCAAGTAATAAAATAATTACGAAGTAATGAGTTTTGAATACGTATTCACTTTGTTTTTAATAATTTTTAATTTTTATTTTTATTAAAAAATAAAAATTGTTTTGCCACAATTTGCTTGCACAAGACCTGAAAAATATAACTATTATCCTTTGAAAGCTGATGTGAAGTTAATACAACACACCACCAGTATGTAAAGAGACAGTTTATTATATACAAGAATCTGATTATTTAGAAATTCAAAAAGGACACATGGAGGCCAGTCTTCCTCTGTCCTCCTACATCTGGGTCTTCAGCTAGGGACATGAAATGGTGACAGGCTAGAACAGCTTATCGGCAGGGTCCAGTTCCATCGGGCATTTTCACTCACCTGTCTATGTGGGCTGGGCTCAGCCGGAACTGTCAGAGCACCTTCTGTGGCTTCTCCACAGTGGCAGTCTCAGGGTAGTCTGATTTCTTACATGGTGGCTCAGGAACACGGCTTTTTCTGATTTAGTCTCAGAAGTCAATTGGCAACACTTGTCCCACATTCTGTTGGTTGAAGCAGTCCACAAACTCATCCAGATTCAAGAGGGTAGGTACTTGGACGTTTCCTCTTAGTGGAATAAATATTAAAGAATTTGAAGCCATGTTTGAAAATCGCTACACTGTGCATGCAATTTTGTATTCTGCTTTTCCACTTAACATTATACTATAAACATGAAATGTCTTTCTTGTAAACATCATTTGAACACCTATTTGGCATGATCTAGCTCTCCTAGCAAAATTTGTCACTCTAGATGCAAATATCAAATTATACAGCTATTGAATGGTTTAGGTAGGAAAAATGTAGTGTCTGTTTATATTTCATACAGCAATATATTCATAGTAAGGAATCATGAAAAAATAAAACTACTTCATGAACATTTAGCTAGGTAAAATTATTCTCAAAGACCATCTGCATACAGAAATATATATTTTGGCATTTCATTGAAAGTTACAGGGCATATTTAACTCCACAAAAGAATATTAGATACTTGTGTGTATTTTAGCAAGTGCAATATAGTATCTTAGAACTACTAAACTGCAAAATTTCTGCTGCATCAGCCAATCCATGTTTGTGTCTACAACTTTGTCAAAAGCCAATAAAGCAAAAAAGCTTATTCATCTCGCTGAGGGGTTGTAAGCTCTATTTATTTAAAATGGAGTTCGGAGATTGGCTTTTTCCATTTTGATATGAGTCGTGTATCACTTTCATTTAGTGACATCAAATGTTAAGCCTCAGTAAAACTGCCTTATAAGAGAAAAAATATGTTGTTGACTCAGTGATAAACAATTCCTAGATAAAAGAGGATGCTGGCACTGAGATGAGTTGCATAGATTTTGAAAATTTAAAAAAATCTTCTGACAATATGTCTACTTTAGAGAAGCTCCTGGTTAGTAGAAAGAAATAATGCCTATTTAAGGATGCTAGACTATGATAAGGTACTATCTTACTTAAAAACCTTGGCTGGAGTACTTGTCATAACTGGTAAGCTGGAAAGAAACAGGAAACCAAACAAAGGTTTCTAAAGTGGATCTACTTTTAATGACTCTTCCTCCAAATTCATCATTTTCCTGCAATCCAACTTAGGAATGTTGCTGCTGTCATTGACACATGCTTCATCCTAATTCTCCTTACATAGCTAGTCATTGGGCTGTATTTTTTTTTTTTGGTCTAAGAAATCTTTTGTCTAAGAAATCTTTTGTATCCATTTCCTTCTCATTTTATAGCAGCCATCTTGCCATCTTAGAATATATAGGAGGATAAATATTGATTTTTCTGGGGCTGAAATTGCCTTTTTAATGGAATTTAAATGCTTTTAGGTAGAATAGCTTCTCATTAAATCCTTAGCTTTCTCTGTGTTTTAATAAATATGGTTGTGTATCAGTATGACCCATAAAGGTATTTGAATTTGTGATGTTTACTATTTAAATAATCTCAGAAATAGTGAAAACTACCTTGGCAATATTTCTTGCTTTTTCCCAGTCACTCCTCTACACTCTCTGCCATAAACTTTTCACACTAATCCACACTGTTAAAAAAAAAAAAAAAGACAATAAACTTCTTTAAATACCTGCCTTCATATGTCACTCCTCCATTGTACTTATCCTTGATTCATGGTAGTATAATATCAAGTATGTTTTTATACTCTAGTCCTATTAAACTTTTACAAATACATTTGTTTTCTACCTCATCATGGCCCTTCCACTCAAATCAGACCTGCTGAGCACATGCTTTATACATGCTTCAATTCATGATCTTAAAATACCTAATTTTATTTCAATTTAAGGGGTCAAGATAACCTCATCTACCTTGTTCCAGATAGTTTCCAGGGAAAGAAGATAACCAGGCATACTGTATTGTCAGCAGAACCTGTGGGTGAAATCACCCTAAAAGTGGTGGCAGGGACATTCCCATAAAAGAATATCCCAAATAGTCCCTGAGATGGGGCTGGTTGGGATTCCAAAGAAAGAAGTACTAAATGTCGCAATTATCAGTCCAAAGCATTTATTAAAGAAACGTACAGAGTGGGCTGCAGAAATCCTTGCAAAAATGTCAAGGGAAAGGAGTGTTATACCTAGTTATGTTGGCAGCAAGGGGGTCAGGTTATAGAGTTTATATGAGGGTTTAAGGAATTTTATGGCTGAGGGTCAGGGCCAGTTTCTTTCAATGTCTTAGGCAACAGCCTAGATACCTTTATCATTGCCTGGGAATGTTCAGGGTTCTGGTTTGCGTTAACCCTGTTGGGCAAATCGTGCAGCTAGCTGCATCTCAGAATGGCGAAGGAAACAGAAAGAAAGTGGAAGGGGGTACTGGGGGACCCTATAACTAGACAAGAAGTCAGCCTTTCCAATATCTGAACCACACTGGGGACAGCAGCATGTATGGCCAGAGTCATCTTATTCAATTCCTGGTAACCATCATCCTCTAGGTGCCATCAGCTATTGTCTAGCTGTGACCTTGGGTAAGTTAACAACTCTAATGCCTCAGTTTCCTCACCTGTGTGATAGAGATAACAATACCATGTATTATTTACAGTTAATCACTATTCAAACAACTCTTAGAATAGTGCCTGGCATTTAGTAAATATAACTGAAGTGTTTGGTGAACAAACACAAGCAGCTGAAATATTTATGAGTGTTCTATATTAAATATTTTTATATCTAGGTTTCAAATATACTTGATGAATATAATATATATATGTATATAGTACATGTGCATGAATCAGAACAGGAACAGTGCGTAGCAGCCTGAGTCATATACTTTTGTTCATACAAGTGGAATTATGAAGCTCAAATGCAGAATCTCTGGGACTGACCCACTTCTGCAGACTGCTTGGTTTAGAATTGACTCTACTTAGGATGCCTTAAGACCATACTTACCATAAACAACCCCATTATGTTTCTTTAAGAGTATCATTATTTATAAAATATAAGAAATGAAGAAAGAAGAGGAAAAAGCCCATTTTCTCTATTTCAATACAGCCTTATCAAAAAGCAGATTCATTCAACCTTTCAAATACTCAGCAAATGGAATCTGAGTACCATCAAGACCTATAAGGTAGGAATGCATCTTCAGAACACCTTTTTCTCTAAAAGGGTGCATTTGCCTCAGGGTACTGAATCTTGGTTGCTGACGAATCTATGTTTTCTTTTGTCATTTTAGATTATCTTATTAAAATAAACAAACCTTAGATATTTTACAATTTACTATTTTGTCTACAGGTAATATCATTTTTATAATAATGATATTATAAAAATGTAATATCATTTTTATAATAATGATATAAAAATGTAATATCATTTTTATAATAATGATATAAAATGTAATATCATTTTTATATTATAAAAATGTAATATCATTTTTATAATATTATAAAAAGTAATATCATTTTTATAATATTATAAAAATGTAATATCATTTTTATAATATTATAAAAATGTAATATCATTTTTATAATATAAAAATGTAATATCATTTTTATAATAATGATATTATAAAAATGTAATATCATTTTTATAAGCCTTTACTAAATTATCTTCCAAATCATATAAAATATTGTTAATTAAAATATATAATATAATAAAACACTAGGGAGGGAAAACAAAGGTTTTAAGTGTTTGAAAAATTTGTCATCCTTTCTTTCTCTCTCTCTCCCTCCCTCCCTCCTTCCCTTCCTTCCTTCCTTCCTTCCTTCCTTCCTTCCTTCCTTCCTTCCTTCCTTCCTTCTTTCCTTCTTTCCTTCTTTCTTTCTTTTGACGGTGTCTTGCTCTGTTGCCCAGGCTAGAGTGCAGTGGCGTGAATCTCAGCTCACTGCAACCTCCGCCTCCTGGATTCAAGTGATTCTCCTGCCTCAGCTTCCGGACTAGCTGATATTGCAGGCATCTGCCACTGTGATGGGCTAATTTTTGTATTTTTACTTGAGACACGGTTTCACCATCTTGGCCAGGCTGGTCTTGAACTCCTGAACTCATGATCTACCTGCCTTGGCCTCCCAAAGTCCTGAGATTACAGGTGTGAGCCACCCCGCCCGGGCTATTTTCATGTCGATAATATTAGAGTTTTCCAATAAATGGTACTCATATACACACATAAGATGGATCAAATAATTTGTAGCTCTTTAAGAAAAATTATGTATGTGTGTTTGTATATGTGTGTATGTATTTGTGTTTCATGACATATAATTGATAGTTATTTTTGTCCCAAATAAATATTTAAAGCTATCATTGTTTGTCATTGCTCTGATTAAAAAAAAAAAATGGCTCCTATAGAAGATTACATCTAGTTTGTCTTGTTTATGTACTTGTTCATATTTTTAAATGAAAAAATGATGTATCTGGTAGGAATATAAAAAAATCTAATTTGATTATTTTTATTGAATAATAGTTTCACTAGATGGAAAAAGACTAAATTCACTCAAGTTTATTATTCTCCCTTATTTTTCTAACGTAAATGATTTTTAAAAATCTGTAGTCTAAATTGAATCAGTGTTAAAACTTAAGAATACTGTGTCTTAAGAATACTACAGATTCACCCAGCTTTTTCACAGAGATAATAATTGATTAACAGAACTTTTAGCCCCTAAATTCTCCAAGACGGTTAGGGTGGTAGGGCTTGGAGCCCCAACCCTCTAATCATGCCCTGGTCTTTCTAGTGACCATCACCTATCTAGAAGCTATTTAGGAACCCCCAGCCCCTAAATAAAGTGTCTTTCATATGCTAATGAATTGGGTCATTAGCATATGAAAGACTCTTATCACTGGGGATTCCAGGGACTTTATGGACCATGTGCCAGAAACCAGAGGCAGAGACCAAGTATGTAATTTTTATTACAGCACATAATCACAAATACATACGTATATATGTATTTTTTTAACATTGTAGTTCAGAAAAACTAAATGTTATTCTTTTTTAAATGGCTAAAATGGAATTAGCTAATTACAAACCATAAGCAACTTAGACCTAAATTAGTCTCTACTCACATAAAAAAATCTCAAAGTCCTTAAATATTTATTTTTACTAAAATATCCCATAGTTTAGGATAGTGCTGTTTTGGCAAACTGCAACAATCACTTATGCATTTTTTTTTCTAAGAGAAACTCATTTCATTCTTAAAATGTCTAGGATGACATGCTTTGCTTAGAATATGTGAAAAACCTTGCCTATTATACAGAAGAGATGGGCCAAGCTGCATTTCTGAAATGCTGGTGATTTTAAGACTCTTTGGAATTTACAGAGCCTTACTTGTTAAAATGAAATAAGGATCTACTTCAGAAGGCAGCAGGCTCTGAGGAGAGTAATACGGAGGATAATGTAGCTTACTTCTTCAGGGAGTTATGCCCCAAGTTCCCAAAATAAACCAGAATCAGAGCAGTCAGCCCTGCCACTTCATTAAAAATTGCAGGAAATAAGTGGCTTTCCTTAACTATTGTTTTAAAAAATCATTTATGAGAATAGGAATTCTGTCCCCAGGTGAACATAATTTGACTTCAGAACACTAAAAGTTGCATGATGAGGCTGTAGTTAAAACTAAAGGGAGGGCTTGTTCGTTTGACTTTCTTTTTGCAAAATCAAATGGTAAATATTTAAAGCATCTATTCAAGTTTCATATCTGAAAAATGGGGGCTAACATAAATTTGCAAGTAGATGTATTTTTTATGTCTGTATGTCTTGATACATTGAGTTTTTAGATAAGATGCAGCAAAGGTGCTAGATAGAACTTTACATAGTACGTTAGTCAGGGCTTCTTATCCTGGAAAGTAGAAAGGGTTCTGGTGGGGGTGGTCACAAACACTCAAAATTATATTCTAAATTGTACATAAGTATGTCTTTCTAGGGTGAATTTTACGTTTTTCCTCAGATTCCTCAAGCGTTCTCGAATATAAAACATTTAGGTCCTTGACTCTAAAAAAAAACATTGAAAACATGCCACAGTTTAAATGTTTTGCAGTTAATAAACATGCTTCACATCTCTGAAACCTCTACTTTTTTTACTGAGTTCTCATAATCAGCCTCCAGAACTCTGTAATTTCTCAGCATGCAAGTTTAATTTTCAATACTGCATCTGAAAATAAAATTCCTTGAAATATTTTAGGAAATCCTGGAATTTGTTTATGACTTCATACAGAATCAATTCAATTTTTCTGATTTTTAGTGAAGTTTGATCATATGTACTAGGTGGGAAGTATTGTGGCAGTTAAGGCAGCCCAGAGGTCTGGATAAAAACCGTGATTCTAGCACTCACTATCTGTGCAGCCTCAGACAAATGATTTGGTCACTCTGTCTTCAGTTTCTTCATTTGTAAAAGAAGAATAAAAACAGAATCAATTCATAGCTCTATTCTGATAATTTAATTACATAATCTACATGAAACTCTTTGAAACACATTAAGCATACAATAAATGTTAACTAATAATTATAGCTCATCCCATATATCACTAATATATGCTAGGTGTGCCTCTAAGTACTTTAATCTCTTTAACCCTCGTGACTATCTAATGATACAGGTTTTATTGTTATACCTACTTTGCAAATGAAGAAACTGATTCACTAAGAAATCAATCAAGTAATTTATCCCTAATTATATAGCTCATGAGTGGCAAAGTCAATTCAAACCTAGGCAGTTTGGTGCTAGATACCACATTTAACCACTACGGCTTTCTCATATTTATATTACCATTGTGTCTTTTACAAAAATTTCACCACGTAGCATACTTGTTATAGTTGATGTATAGGTAGAAGAAATCACAGTCTGAGAATTCTTAGGAAAATGTACACACTATGTAGACTATACAAAATCATAGTTCTTGGTAATGTACCTGGAGAATTAACTTTGTGTGTGTGTGCTTCCAGAGAAAGTAAATGCTAGCTAATGTTGATAGAATGTCAATACCAAATATATTTTCTAAAAAAGCAAAGTCATATTTACTTCCATCCTGTAAACCTTTATGTGGAATAACATACACAGTGTCATTTTCATGTTAATGATGAGAGAAAACACAGTTTAGAGCTAATGAGGGATAGTTATCGGTTATTTGCAGAAGAGAACTAGAGCCAATATTCAACATTAGCCAAAGAGAGAATTGAACTGACTCCTAATCTAGTGTTATAATTATTACTACATAAAATGGGTCTGCTTTCAGAATATAAAATGAATATCTCTGCAAAGAGAAAAAAATTCTGGGTTTTACCTTAGACAAAATTGTGCTACAATGATCAATTTCACCTGCAGATAAAGGAGTGTAAATTATATATTTTCTTGTTCAGCAGCTATTTTAGGCAATAAAATATGATGGGATATATAACCCACTGGTTTATAAAGAAAAGAATTGAAGAGAAAAATGTGCAAATTGAATATTTTTCAAGATGTGCTTATGATAAATGAATCCAGAGGGAAACCCATAGCAGTATAATGATTGCTTAGAAGAAAATAATGTAAATGCCCAATGAAAAATGCAAATTATTACTTGTTTTAAAGTGATCATTGAATCCCTATAAATGTATAATAAAGCAACTATAAAAAGATACAGAGGAGATGTAAATTTGGTATATAAACTGGCTCTTTAAAAAATTAAGCACATTTAAAGTATATACAAACAAAACCCCAAAAACTACCAAATCCACATTAATTTATTTCAAACCATGTTGAGAGAACATTATCCTGAATCTCTTAAAGTGGGTATGTCCTCTCTCATGATAGAAGTTTTTCCCTTTACTTTTATTTTTCCAATTTCAGTTGTTTTGTTCCTTTTCACAAAAGTGTATAGTTTCCCTTAAAGGTATATGAAGAAAATTTTCTTCTCTCATGCCTCTCTTAACTTTTATGTTAATTCATTTTTGAAGAAAATAGTTTAATTCATATTTTGAAGAAAATAGTTTACTCTCATTGACTCAGCTTTCACAGTCCCCACCTCCTATTGATCTCTTAATGTCTGAAGGGTATTTTCTTCTAGAAAAAAAACTGAAACTGTTCTTGCCAAGATTACTTGCAAAATGCCAAATCCAATGGCTTCACCTTTCTATATCTTTCTGCGTAATCTGCTATTTTTGACTACTAAAAATTTCAAACCTCTCATCTTTCCAAATCCACTACTTCTGATTCTTACTCTTTTTCTTAACCATCTACCTTATTGTCTTGTTACTTTCACTTCTCCCTATGTTGCTTTCAAAGCTTTATTAGCCCAAAAGATTGACTTCAGTTGTTCTTATTTACATTCTTTCTTTTGGCAGACTCACTCACATCCATGGCTGGAACTGCCTCAGTTATTATTTCAAAACTCACACATCTGTAACTCCAATTTTGACACCTCATTGAGCTCCTAATCCATCATCTCCAATTCTTCCTGTGCCTACTATCAAGAAAAAAAGGCCAGCTGATACTGCAAACCCATCTTCCAAAAGATAAATTTGGTTAGTTTAAGATTTGCAGTGTATATTCAACCAATATTCAAAGTAAACATAGTAAAAAATTGGTGCTATTGCTTTATCCCTCTATTTCCCTATTGCATTGCCAAAGTTTTTGTGCATGTAGTACAGCTACCAAAAGTAACGCCTGTCACTGTGGGTCTCTGTGTAACTCTAAACAAGAGCTCCTGATTATATGTAATATTAATTACATGATCTCCTTGGTTCCTATAGGCATTTTATTTTGCAATGACTTCCACAGATTAATAAAGACAGTTTCATTGTTGTTCCTTTGCCTCTATGCACACATTCTCCTTAGGGATTTTATTGGAAGAAGTACTGAGGAGGTTTTTCAGCTCCACACCTAGACACAAGCTTAAGCACTTGGTAGCTGCCATTGGGATCTCCCTCATTGTTAATAAGTGTGCCTGCCATCAGGGGACCTGTAGGTGGGCCCGCCTGGTCTGGCTCCATCCATCTTGCCTCTTGCACCCCCATGACTAGGGGATGACCATGAAACTCCAATGACTGTGCATTCCATAAATCAGCCCATTATTTGAGGCAAAAAAAGAGCTTCTTCCAGTAAAAAAAGAATCAAGTATATACTTTGCCACATTGGCTGCATCCAGCTCTTACTCAGGAATACTATCTATTGACTTGTAAGTTAAACTGTACAGCCCAACCCAATATAAAACCAACTGAAAGAAGTGCACAGAGCTATAAAAGAAAAGCCAAACGACCCTACCAAACATCCTCTACAGTCACAAGTCATGGAGATGGGGGAAGAAAAAGGGAAAGGGAAAAATAAACTAGAATATTATGGAGAAAGAAAGAAAAAATTCCCACCTAAATGAAAATATTTATGAAAATTAGAAGTGCCAGCATCTCTAGATAAGAAAGAACCAGTGCAAGAATTCTGGCATCATGAAAAATCTGAATGTAGTGACACCACCAAAGGATCACACTAGCTCTCCAGCAATGGTCCCCAACGAAGAAGGAAACTCAGACCTGACAGATAATTCAAAGTATGAATAGCAAGGAAGATCAATAAGATCCAAGAAATGGTTGAAAATAACATTACTTCTAAATCATTACAGGAAATGAAGGAAGAGATAATCATCATAACAAGAAATCAATCAGAACTTCTGAAATTAAACAATTCACTTAAGGAATTTCAAAATACAGTTGGAAGCTTTATCAACAGGCTGGACTAAATAGAAGACAGAATTTCAGAGCTTAAAGACCAGTCTTTTGAACAAACTCATTTGGACAAAAATAAAGAAAGAAGAATTTAAAAAAACTGAACAAAGCCTATGAGAAATATGGGATTATATAAAGTGAGCAAACCTAGGAATTTTTGGCATTCCTGAGAGAGAAGGAGAAAAAGTAAACAACCTGAAAAACATATTTGAGGGAATGATTCAAGAAAATTTCCCTAACCTTGGTAGAGGTAGGCATCCAAATATAATAAATCCAGAAAACACCTGTGAGATACTAGACAAAACAAACATCACCAAGGCATATAGAGAGTGGACTGCCTGAGGTCAGTGCTAAAGAAGAAATCGTAAAGGTAGTGGGAGAAAAAGATCATGTAGAAAGGGAACCCCATCAGCATAAAAGTAGACTACCCAGCAGACACCTTGCAAATAGGAGAGACGGGGGCCAATTTTCAGCATTCTAAAGAAAAGAAATTCGAACCAGAATTTTGTATCCTGCCAAACTAAGCTTCATAAGCAAAGAAGAAATACATTTTCTATCAGAGAAGTGAGCCCTAAAGGAATTTATTACCACTAGACCAGCCTTAAAAGAGACCCTTAAAAGAGTTCCAAACATGGAAACAAAAGAATGATATCTGCTACCACAAAAACACAATTAAGTACATAGCCCACAGACTCTATAAAGCAAATATGCAATAGAAACCACAAGCAAACATCTAACAACTTGATGATAGTATCAAAACGTCACATATCATTATTAATTTTGAATGCAAGTGGTCAAAACTCCCCCACATTCTAATAATGACAGAGCTGCAATAAAAACAACTCAGAGTTGGAGAAAAAGACAAAACCTATTCCTCTGCTGTCTTCAAGAGGCCCATCTCACACATCAAGACACACATACACTCAAAGTAAAAAAGCGCAGAAAGATCTATCATGCAAATGGAAAAAAAAAGAAAGCAGAGGTCACTATTCTTATGTCAGATACAATGAACTTTAAACAAAACATAGTAATAAAGGACTGTTGTAATAACTTTGAGAAAAGGGCATTACATAATGATAAAGGGTTTGATTTAACAAGAAGACTTAACTCTCCTAAATATATATATGCACACAACACTGGAGCACCAGATTCATAAAACAACTACTTCTGGAAATACAGAAAGACTTTAAAGCCACACAATAATAGTGGCAGACTTCAATACCCAATGACAGCATTAGACAGATCAGCAAGGCAGAAAACTAACAAAGAAATCCTGGATTTAAATTCACCACTTGGCCAATTGAACCTATTAGACATCAACAGTATACTCCATCCATTAACTGCCTAATATATTCTTCCCATCTACACATGGAACATATTTCAAAATTGACCACATGCTCAGCCATAAAGCAAGCCTCAATAAATTCAAGAAAATAAAAATTTTACCAACCAGAATCTTGGACCATAGTAGAATACAAATGAAAATTGATACCAAGAAGATCTCCCCAAACCACACAATTGCATGAAAATTAAATTTGCTCCTAAATGACTTTTGGGTAAACAATGAAATTAAGGAAAAAATTAAAAAAAAAATTGAATCTAATGAAAACAAAGATAGAGCATACCATAATCTCTAGGAGACAGCTAAAGCAGTGTTAAGAGGAAAGTTTATATACTAAATATCTACCTAAAAAATTAGAAAGATCTCAAACTAATGACCTAACATCAATCCTAGAGGATCTACAAAACCAATAATAAACTAAACTCAAACCTAACAGAAAAAAAGGAAAAAACTGAAATCAGAAGAGAACTGAACATAATTAAGACTCAAAAACTCATGCAAAGAATCAATGAAATAAAAAAAGTGTTCTTTGAAAAAATAAACAGGATTGGTAGAATGCTAGCTAGATTAACAAAAAAAAGTCCAAATAAGCACAATCAAAAACAACAAAGGTGACATTACAACTGATCACACAGAAATACGAAAGACCTTAGAGAGACTTTAGAGACTATTATGAACATCTTTATGCACACAGCCTAGAAACTCTAAAGGAAAAACAAAACAAGAAAAAAATATATAAAGAAAATCTAGAGAAAATGGATAAACTCCTGGAAACACACAACTTCCCAAAATTGAAATAGGAAAAAAATAGAAACCCTGAACAGGCCAATATTGAGTTTGATATTGTATGAGTAATAAAAAAATCTATTAAGCAAAAATAGCCCTAGACCAGATGGATTCACAGCTGAATTCTACCAGTCATGGAAAGAAGAGTCGGTACCAATTCTAGTGAAACTATTTCAAAATATCAAGGAGGAGGGATTCCTCCCTAACTCATGTTACAAAGCCAGGATCATCCTGACACCAAAACCTGGCAAAGATACAATGACATAAGAAAACTATAGGCCAATATCACTGATGAACATAGATACAAAAATTCTCAACAAAATACTAAAAAAAGCAAATCTAGTAGCATATCAAACCGTTCATTCACAGCCATCAAGTAGGCTTCATTCCTATGAGTCATAGTTGTTTCAACATACATAAATCAATTAATGTGATTCACCACATAAACAGAATTAAAAACCAAACTATATAATCATCCCAATAGATGTTGAAAAAACCTTTGATAAAATCCAACAATCCTTCATGATAAAGGCTGTCAACAAATTAGCCATTGAAGGAATATGTCTCAAAATAGTAAGAGGCTTCTATGACAAACCCACAAACAACAGCATACTGAAAACTGGAACAAGACAAAGATGTTGATTCTCTCCACTCCTATTCAACATAGTACCAGAAGCCCTAGTTAGAGCATTTAGGAAGGAGAAAGAAATGAAAAAAAAAAAAAAAACATCCAAGTAGGCAAAGTGGAAGCCAAACTATCTCTCTTCAGTGGCGATATAATTCTATACCTGGAGAACCCTGAAGACGGCCAAAAGGCTCCTGGAACTCATAAATGACTTCAGTAATGTTTCAGGATACAAAATCAATATGTGAAAATCAATAGCATTTCTTATTTTATTTTATTTTATTTTATTTTTTATTGTACTTTAAGTTCTGGGATACATGTGCGGAATGTAAAGGTTTGTTACATAGTTATACATATGCCATGGTGGTTTGCTGCACCTCTCAACCCATCATCTAGGTTTTAAGCCCCGCATGCATTAGGTATTTGTCCTAATTCTCTCCCTCCCCTTGCCCCCCACCCCTGAACAGGCCCCGGTGTGTGATGTTCCCCTGCCTGTGTCCATGTGTTCTCATTGTTCAACAATAGCATCTCTATACACCAATAACATTGAAGCTGAGAGCCAAATCAAGATATAATCTTATTTATAATAGCCACACAAAAAAATAAAATACTCCGGAATACATCTGATAGGGAAATAAAAGATAACTATGAGGAGAACTACAAAACACTGCTGAAAGAAAACAAGAGGAAATTTCAAGCTATTCCATGCTCATGGATTGAAAGAATCGATATCATTAAAATGGCCATACTGCCTAAAGGAAATCTACAGGGTTAATGCTATTCTTATCAAACGACCAACATGATTTTTCACAGAATTAGAAAACAACTATTCTAAAATTCACATGGAACCAAAAAGAGCCTGTATAGACAAAGTAATTCTAAGCAAAAAAAGACAAAGCTGAAGGCATCACATTATCCAAAGTAAAACTATACTGTAAGACTATGGTAACCAAAAAGCATGGTACTGGTACAAAAACAAATACATAGACCAATGTAACAGAATAGTTAGAACACAGAAATAAAGCCACACACCTACAGCCATCTGATATTCGACAGTGTGGACAAAACTAAATAATGGAGAAAAAACTCCCTACTCAACACATGGTGCTGGGAAAACTGGCTAGTTATATGTAGAAGAATAAAACTGAACCACTACATTTCACCATACACAAAAATTAACTCGAGATTGATTAGTGATTTGAATGTTAGACCTCAAACTAGAAGAATGCTAAAAGAAAACCTAGGAAACACCATTCTGGATAATTGGCCTTGGGAATGAATTCATGGCCAAGTCCCCAAAAGCAATTCTGGCAAAAACAAAAACTGAAAAGTGAGGCCTAATTAAACTGATGAGCTTCTGCACAGAAAATAAACTATCAACAGAGTTAAGAGACAGCCTACTGGTAGGGCGCGGTAGCTCACTCCTGTAATCCCAGCACTTTGGGAGGCTGAGGCAGGTGGATCACGAGGTCAGGAGATCGAGACCATCCTGGCTAACACGGTGAAACCCCATCTCTACTAAAAATACAAAAAAAAAAAAAAAAAAAAATTAACCGGGTGAGGTGGCAGGCGCCTGTAGTCCCAGCTACCTGGAGGCTGAGGCCGGGGAATGGCGTGAACCCGGGAGGCTGAGCTTGCAGTGAGCCGAGATTGCGCCACTGCACTCCAGCCTGGGTGACAAAGCGAGACTCCGTCTCCAAAAAAAAGAGAGAGACAGCCTACAGAATGGGAGAAAGTATTCACAAACTATGCATTCAATAAAGTGCTAATTTCTAGAGTCTATAAGAAACTTAAACAATGCAACATAAAAAAAGCAAATAACCCTATTACAAAGTGGGCAAAAGACATGAAGAGATACTTCTCAAAAGAAGATGTACAAACAAACAACCAACATATGAAAATATGCTCACTAATCATCAGAGAAATGCAAATCAAAACTACAGTGTAGTTTTCACATCAGTCAGAAAGCTATTATTAAGAAGTCAGAAAACTATAGATGCTAGCAAGGCTGTAGAGAAAAGGTAACGCTTATACACTGTTGTTTGAAAATTAGTTCAGCCATTGTGGAAAGCAGTTCGGATATTTCTCAAAGAACTGAAAACAGAAATACTATTTGACCTAGAAATCCCATTACTGAGTATATACCCAAAATAAAATAAATTATTCTACCAAAAAGACACATAAATTCACATATTCATCACAGCATTATTCACAATAGCAAAGACATGGAATCAATTTAGATTCACATCGACGGTAGCTTGGATAAAGAAAATGTACCCATGCATCATGGAATACTATAGAGCCATAAAAAGCAATAAAATTATGTCATTTCCAGCAACACTGATGTGACAAGAGGCCATTATCCTAAGCAAATTAATTCAGGAACAGAAAGGCAAATACTGCGTGTTCTCATTTATAAGTGGGAGCTGAACATTGAGTACACATGGGCATAAATATTACAATAGATATTGGGGACTACTGGAGAGGCGAGGGAGGGAGTGAAGTAAGTGTTGAAAAACTATTGGGAGGCTGGGCATTGTGCTCACACCTGTAATCTCAGCACTTTGGGAGGCCGAGGAGGGTGGATCACCTGAAGGTCAGTAGTTTGAGACCAGCCTGGCCAACATGGTAAAACCCCCATCTCTACAAAAACTACAAAAATTAGCCGGGCTTGGTGGCAGATGCCTATAATCCCAGCTACTCGGGAAGCTGAGGCAGGGGAATCACTTGAACCCTGGAGGAAGAGGTTGCAGTGAGCTGAGATCACACCATTGCCCTCCAGCCTGGGCAACAGAGCAAGACTCTGTCTCCCCCCTCCCCACCCCCCAAAAAAAAGAAAAAAGAAAGAAAGAAAAACTATTGAGTACTACGCTCACGACCTGGTTGATAGGGTCATTTGTATCCCAAACCTCAGCATCATGCAGTATACCCATGTAACAAACCTGAACATCTGCCCCTTGAATCCAAAATAAAAGTCACAATTATTAAAAAAAAATACAATTGATGTTTTGAATGTTTAAGAAAAGAAATACTCCTTCAAAGATAAAATAGGCATTTCAGATGTAAGGTATTTTATATTAATTTTTGTATACAGTGATGTATTCTTCAGTGATATCCATTTAACATGCACAGTATGCTTTATACTACTGGGACAGGGAATAATTAGCGAGGGTGTGAGAGGTACCGTTTGCATATATTGGAAGTCATACTGAGGTAAGCCTTTTGCAAAACCCCAGTATTATGTCTGTTTGAATTATTCAATGCTACTAATCACCACTCTAAATGGATAACAATAGAAACTTATCACTATTCAGGGGATACCTGGGAAAGTGATACAATGAAAATCAAAGGAGAATCTGAGGAACAAAAAGCCGGTCCTTATAAAGCTTAAAACGCTTGGCTGCTTTCATTTTGCCACACCTTCTCAGTTGCAACTACAGAAAAGATGCTTCAGATGATGTTGTATACTATAACTGACAACATCTGCTACCTACCGCAAACACAGCCATTTGTTTGGCTAAATACATGTGTGACCACAGGGAAATCACTCTGGTAGATTTACTGACATTGCCATGGTGTTTCAGTAATAAACTTGGGAATCAACTTATGATACAGATGGCTGCAGAAGGATTATGCCACAGTGGGCTCTTGGAAATGAATTATCCAACCAACTGGTTTGAATTCTAAAATGACACCGACTCATGATAATTGACTACAACTTAATGAGAATATTATCCTGTTACACTTAGTATGGCAGAGCCTCTAAATATTTCCCAAGCAATTTAGGAGTCAGACTTAATTGCAGCCCTTGGATTTTTCTTAGGGGATTCTGCAAGACAACGGCTTCACTCTTTTGTGACATTTAAACTTGGTCAAACCTGTTCTTCTTGAACCTGGGTATAGCAATTTATCTGCCTAGCCAAATTGCAGATATTTATTTTCTGGTGTTTAATTTTCTCTTTATTTATTTCATCAAAGGGACTTGGCATCACACAGTTTTTAAAATATTTACAGTAGCTTCCTGGGTTCTCTGGAATAAATCTACATAAAATGAATATATTCAAGTGATACACAAATAAGCACAAATACTTTTTTCCAGTGGTTTAGAAATGTGCTCCTAAATCTGTATTTTCATAACAAATACAAAACACATGAATGTGACAGTGAAAACTCTGGGATGTTAATACCTTATTGATATTTCTAATATACCTCAATGGTGAGATAATAACTATGTTTTGAAAAACAATTCTATTTCACTGTTTGTAAACATTCATCAGATAGATAGATGTAGATATAGACATAAAATAAGTAGGCATTACATATTCTGGGTGTGTGGCAGGGAAAGGAAAACTCTCCCTGCCCTCTTGAAGCCTATTTTTTGGAAACAATTTACGTTTGTCAGAATTCATTGATCACAAGAACCATCCACATTCATTAACAAAGCATGCTTTCATATGCATCATTATATTATTTCATCTTAATAACAGAGAGAAATGCTGCGCTTGTTTTTGATAAGAAGAAAAGTGGTTCATAAATAATTTCTGCTTAGAGAACACAAGAAGGGACACAGGTGTATTAAGAAGTGATACTGGGTTAAAACAAAGTTGTGTTCTTACTGCTAAGCATCATGGTCAGTCTATAACAGCATGATTGATCTCTATTAATACAAGATCAAGAAGGTAATTGTGGTATAGAAGTGTTTTAGAGATACTTCTGGAGTAATGGTGAAAAAGGACACAAATACAGCAAACAGCCAGTAGAACATATAAGCCATTGCATAATTTGGAATAACCTAAGTATATAATCTAAGTAAACATAATATGTGTTAAATGCAGTGATTAGTTGATAGCTGACAGCACTTTCTGCTAGTTCTAGGAATAGAACCATCTAGTCAGATAATGCATTTTGCTAAATCATATATTTATTATTCATCTCTCTTACTATGAATTGAAGAAAAATCAGTGTAGACTATGAGCCAACATAAAAGATTAGGTTGTTAAATAAGAATCATACAAATCAGATATTTTACCCAGAACCAAGCTTTACCTATAGTTTCAAGGATATAAACAATCAAGCCACAGAGGCAAAACTGGAAGAGGTCTCAGACATTGCGGGCAGCTCCAAGACTATTCATTCTTCATTAACATCGGATATATGCCTCACACAGTGGGGTTTTTTAGCTTATTTATGTAAGCTGTATTGTATAGCTTACATGACATTCTTCAGGGAGCCATGATTCATTGAAACATAGCTCCTAGATTTGTTTCTCATAAGCAATCGTAGATCTATGACACCCAGCTAACATTGTTCTATAGAGAGGTATTTTGCTCCTATCAAATATCATTATTGTATTTACTAAGAGAACCAGTTATCATAACATTCACAAGGAGATTAGAAAATACTCTCTATCTTGTTTCTTTGCCCAGAGCGTTCCCAGTCATTGGGAGAGAAATTAATCAAAGACAGGCAGCTTTAACTTTTTCTTTCCCAACTTAATGTAGACTTTGAATCTTTTATCATGAAATTATGAGCATAGCTGATTAGTATGATCCTCTTTTTATGAGGAAATGTGGATGAATTTCATATTTATTTGTGATTTGGGGACTACTTACATAATTCTATATATAAGCTCTGAGTCTTTCTAAAAATAGCTTAGTATCATACAAATGAATGTCATAGTCATAAGGAAATTCCTGGTTAATTTATTTAAAATAAAAAATAATTTTTGCATACTTCGTGGGTTAAGGCAAGGTTATTTTTGGACATGTTGAATAATCAAATATACAGAGCTATATTGCCTAAATATTTACACATAATTATGTGTATTAAATACACATAATTTTTAAGTCACAGGTGTGAAAGAAACTATGATTTCTGCATGCAGGCTGTAATGAATATATTTTTATAGTGAAATAATTTTAGTTTATTTTATATTTTATTTGTTTTAGTTATAGTTCAGTGTATGGTTATTTGATGTGTTTTAGAGAAAAAAGAAACTTCCATAAAGGACTATGCAATCTGATTGATTTGTGTGACTATAGGAAACTTTTTCTCCTTTCTGAACAGCAATCCACCATCTGCAAAAATATACATAAACACGCATATTTATTCATTTTTATGTAACAAATGTTTCTTGAGCATCTGCTTTGTGACAGAGACTGTTAGAAACTGGAGAAAATGCAGAGAATAAAACTGGAGAAAGCCTCCCACTTTCAAGTTTGTACTATGTTAAGTCATTGTGAGGATTAAACAATATAATGTGTATGCCTTCAATAAACATTAGCTTCATTTTTTTCCTAAACACTATTTACGTCTTTTCCATAACTTATTAAAGAGAAATGTATTCATTGTCATTTCAAGAAGTTTGAACGGCCTGAGTTTACCCTACTCACGAGCTAACAAGTGAGACTGTCATACGCTTAGAGTAACCAATAGAACTACTTGAGGCCAGGCCCTGTGGCTCATGCCTGTAATCCCAGCACTTTGTGAGGCTGAGGCAAGCGGATCACATGAGGTCAGGATTTCAAGACCAGCCCGGCCAACATGGTGAAACCCTGTGTCTACTAAAAGTAAAAAAATTAGCTGGGCGTGGTGGCAGGTGCCTGTAATCCCAGCTACTCAGAAGGCTGAGGTTGCTGTGAACCGAGATCACACCACTGTACTCCAGCCTGGGGCACAAGAGAAGACTTTGTCTCAAAAAAAAAAAAAAAAAAAAAAAGAAAGAACTGCTTGAGTCCTCTGGGTCAGAAACAGAAGACAGTTTATTACTCACAGCACCAGCCCTAGCTATTATGTGACACATGTTCCTCAAGTTCCAAATTCCCAAAGGGCAATATCATGAAAACAACATGTTGCCAGCATAAGTAGTGGGGGTAATTTACAGAACTGGAGCCCTGACACTAGAAAGTGCCAGTTTTAAATAGGGGCTGCTGGCAAATCTGTCCAGAAAAAGATATTATCTTTATTATCTAGAATATTAGCAAGTCTGCTCTGGAGAGAAGAGGGAGATGTCTCTATTTTTACAATCTTAGAATTTCTCCAGAAGAAGGAGACATTTTTATCTTTACTAACCTGGAAATTAACTAAATCTGCTCCAGAGGGGATTACTGTCTTATTCTTACCAAAATCATTTACTCATACAATCATTTCTGAAAAGATAATCTGAAGCAAATTGACTGTTAATATCGAGATGTGTTGAAACAAGAGAGACTTTTGGAAAATTCTCTTTCAATACAATGTTTCCAAAATAATTGGTTACCTGATATTTATTGGCTAAAGATAAATGCATACTTTCCAGGTTTTAGGGCATAAAAGATGAGAGTTTCACCTTCTCATCACATGGGGGCAATGTCTGGGAAGAAAATTATGCCCTTCATTTCATATCCTTATTCTATGGAGAAGCAACCAATTTCATTTTGTGTGTGTGTGTTTGAATGATAAGTATGAGATCTTATTTTACTAGGCTGTAGAGTTATGGTTGTGTTAGAGCAAGAACTCAGCTTTTGTCTCTTTGATCTGTGCTCTGGTACAGCAGGAGCTCTGTTCTCCCCCTTTTGAATCCCTTTGAACTTCCTGTTTCTTTGTATTAATGAGATCAGAGAAGACTTTCCCACAGAGGACAGAGGGAAACTTGTTATACTCTGGCTATCTACGGGCTCTTCTGCCTATAACTGAATGGGTAGGTCAGGACAGCCTTGAATTACAAGTGGTTTTCAATTCCAAAGTAAGGAAACAGGAGACTCCACTTGAACCTTCCCCCTAATCTGTGTCTTATAAATCAATTTTTACCAAAACATGCGTTTTAAACATAATAGTTGCTGTGGTATTAATAAATGGTCTCCCAGTACTGTTTGTAGGTACTGTTTTTCTTGGGTTGGGGTGGGGGCGTAGATGTTTTATCAAGCAGAATCTGAAGGGAGAAAGAGGGTGAAGGGTAATTCTTATGCCTCAGAATGCCTACTTAACAAATTAATAACTCTAGGTGAGTTATTTCCAATATATCATAGCAAGAAATTTCTAGTGTTAAAGTGAAGCTAAGACTCACTCTGCAACCACGAAGGATTCTATAAAATAAAATAAAATAAAATGTGATAAAAAAATTAAACATATTGTTTTTTAAATTTGTTGATATAACAACCCTATTTCCATCATTGTGATGGCAGGTGATGATTTTTTTTTCTAATTTGATAGGAAAAAAAATCCAGTTCCTCTAGTAATATAATGTTTCTTAGTGGTTAGGCTAGACTCAGGTGGACTGAAATATCAATGAGGATAGAATAATTCTTTGAAAGTTATAAGCAATCAAATATCCATTTTCAGTAATATATACAGAAGTTCTAAATGAATATTTTTATCAAACGTATATATTCAATATATACAGTGTAAAAAGAAAGTATTTATTTTGAATCTGTATATATATACAGCTATGTGTGTATATACATACATTCATATAAAAGTATTTATTTTGAAGCTATCTCTGTGTATGTGTGTGTGTGTATGTCTGTGTGTATATATATATATATATATATATATATATATATATATATATATATATAAAACTTTTGACACCAAGGTGGGGGAGGGCAGCTTTTATCATCTCTGAAGACACATACTATCAAGAGAAAATGAGGAAAATCAACTGTAGTGATGCTGTTGTTATCCTAGATGATGACGCGAGACAAAGAACATAAATTCAGAGAAGAAAAAAGAGAGTTCACCAAAAAGACTCCCTGATTTCTGAATCCTCAAACACAGATGCTTGAGAAATGACATAGTCATCTTGGAAAATTATCAGACAACACAAACACCAAATAACAATGACAAGAAATTCTTCTAAATACAAAGGGTTCAGAAAGCATCAAGAATACTTACGCAGCAGGAAAAATTATATTTATGCTATATACCTGAAAACGTGTGATTTGCATATCATTTTTGTCTGACTTATTACTCTTAATGACTGCTTATTAAGCACTTAGTGATAAAAACATTATGTGAGATAATAATAGAGTACAAAGTATTATTATGCAAATGTGTTTGACAAGGTGTACAACTGCAAATTTAGTGTCATACTGAGTTTACTTCTGCAATATTCTCTTAAGTTTATTCTTTCTTTCCAGTTCCAACACTACAAACCATTAGTCTTTTGATCTTCATAATCAACTTATCTTTCAAAATACCCCAAAAGTAATTTTCTCAAGTTTAGGATGGCATTCAAGGCCATCCATTTTTCCACTCCAATCTACAGTTTTGGTATTATTTTTCAATACACATCCAATCTATCATACCTCAGCCACATCAAGGTTGTGCCTCTTCTCATTGTTGACTGTTGGAATCTTATTTTTCAAGGCTCAAAACATCTATCACCTTTCCCATGTATGTATATTTTTCTGGATATTTTTTCACTATTTTTTATCTTCTTATTTTAGACTCTCAAAACTTTGTTTCTCTTTTGTATATTTACAATTTGTATAATTGTTGCCTACATGCAAATCTATTATTTGAGCTCTAGTTTAATAAATTCTGTCAAGTCAGGAAAATGCCATGTTTGTATCCCTTATAGAAACTAGGAAGAACAATTATGCACTAAAATATTTTGGTAAATTCTGTGTCAACAATTTAATTATCTAGATTTTAAAGGTTTATTATTTAAAATAAATAAAGACATTCCTCAAGAATATTTCTAGCTGCTAACATGACATGGTACCAAATAGCATGATGTGGTACCATTTAAGGAAGACCTGGAGGGAAAGGGTCATGGCTTCAATATTGATTAATAGCGTATTTTTAGTTTTCTGTTTCTACCTTTGGTATCCTTCCATGGCATAATCAGTTAATCCTGAATTGCCTATTGTAAGCATATCTTTAAAACGGTTCTCTGTGTTTATCCAAACATATAATCAGGAATTTCAGTTAATGCTAAAACAAAAATTATTTTACATGTGAATTACAACCTAATTAAGTGGGGGAATTTGCACAAATACATATGAAAATGTTGAGCATCATATAGTGTATAAAAAGGCATCTGGTGTTCATGATGCTGAATGATATAGGGGTATCTGAAACAATTTTTCTGCATTGCCAGGTATTCCAGAAGCCAGCATTTATTCTTTGATAGAAAAAAAAATACAGTCCCTCCGGCCAAATAATGTTTCTAAAAGGTTAAGCTAGATTCAGGTGGACTGAAATATCAATGAAAATAGAATAATACTTTGAAAGTTATAAGCAATGAAATATTCATTTCCAGTGATAGATTTAGAAGTTCTAGGTGATTATTTATATTCTATTTCTATCCTATTGTTTATATCTCACCATAAACTACCAAAATCTAAAAGGGACTCCGGAAATGATCTAGTTCAAGCCCATT
This sequence comes from Homo sapiens, assembly GCF_000001405.40. NCBI lineage: Eukaryota > Metazoa > Chordata > Mammalia > Primates > Hominidae > Homo > Homo sapiens. The sequence goes on from NC_000011.10 coordinate 37,616,009, forward strand.
GTTTTACAATTAAGAAAACTTGTGTTTCAATGAGATAAAGGGATTTTGCTCAAGGTTACACTGGCAATTAATATGAAATTTTAGTTCTCCTGAGTCTTAGATCAGGGTACATTTTATTTTCCGCACATACTATATTATATTACATTTCCAACCACTACAGTACATACTAGGCACATAATATTTTTAAGCTAAGTTTGGTTTTATATTTTCTTGTGTTCATTTATTTTCCTCATCCAATTACTTTTTCACTTAAAAATATTTTCTTTTGCTAATCAACTCTGTACTCCTACTATATGCAAATATGTAAGTCCATCAAACCCCATGTCTATCACTTTCTTGCCTTCACTGAATAAGACTGAGAAGTAAATATCCATTAAAAACATGTCAGTGAGAGACACCAGGAATGGAAAAGTAATAGGGCTGGTCATTGATAAACTAATTTACTGAGATACAGATCAGAGAATTGTAGATGAAACTATGAGGTCAAGAGAAATTGAGTTTTGCTGTAATGGAAATAGATGGCTCCGGAATCTAAAAGATTGATAATCTGAAACACAAAGGAAAGAAAACAGAATAATGGACAGCTTTACAACTCATAACTGGGACACACAGTGTTGATCTAGATAATATGTCAATCTAATGACAGACTGTGATATCCTTTAACATCACTAGGGTCTTAAAGTGAATTTTAGGGAGTTCTGAATCTTTTCCCACAGGAAAACCCAACTGTCTAAGTTCGTGATCATTTTGCATTTGTAAGAATACAAACTATTTTATGAGACATGAGCAGATGTTCATGCATCAAGACAAAAATCTGTTCCACTAAGAGAAAGCTTTTAGAATTCTCAGAAAGTAGTCTTCTTCTAATATAATCAAATCTGATTATCATTTCACAGATTCAATTCTTTATAACAGTAAAAGTCCTGAATAAACTACAGCATAAAACTACACATTGCATAATTATATGTAGGGGTTTGAATGGTGTTCCCACCAAAAGATACATCCAAATCCTGAGCCCCAGGACGTGTGAATGTAACATTACCTGGAAATAGGTTCTGTAAAGATGAGTTAAGTTAAAGATCTCACGATCAGATCTTCCTGGATTTAGGGTTAGCCCTAAATGGAATTATTGAAGTCTTCATTAGAAAACAGAGAATGAGAGTTGAGACACTGAGCTGCAGATCAGAGAAAGCCATGTGAATATAGAGTCAGAGACTGAAGTTTTGGAGTTACAAACCAAAGAATGCCAAGGACTGCTGGCAGTCACAGAAGTTAGGAGACAGACATGGAAGAGATTCTTTTTCAGCTGCTCCAGAAGGAATCAACCCTGTTGACAACTTGATTTCAGACTTCTGACCTTCACATTTGTGAGAGAATAAATATGTTTTTTTTAACCACTCAAATTGTGATAATTTGTTTGGGCAGTCCTAAGGAAGTAGTATATTACATAATATAATTTTTGTACAATTGATAGTTCTTTTTAGGAAAAAAATGAAAACTTTAATCTCTAAAAAACGTTTCCACACTAATTTCAAAGAAACACAATTCAACCTACTTTGAAAGGTTTTGGTCTTAAACTGCAGTACACCTCAAGAGTGCTTCGTGGTAAACATTATAATCATCATAAATCACATCATGATGCAAAAAGCATATACGATCATATATTTTGAGTTTATTTAACTATTTTTGTTGCTGTTGGTTTTGATTTCACTCTTAAGAGAAATGATGGCTGGAGTTGTTAACTAATCACAAATACAGGCTTTCAGGTTGCTATGGTTTGAATACATTTTTATGTGCCCCTCCAAATATCTTGTCGACACTTAGTCCCGAATGCAACAGTATAAATATGTCTATTGATATGGTTTGGATTTGTATCCCTGCCCAAATCTCATGTTGAATTGGAGGAGGGGCCTGGTGAGAGGTGATAGGATCATGGGCTGTTCTCAGATAGTGAGTGAGTTCTCATGAGATCTGATGGTTTACAAGTGTGTGACATTTTCCCCTTCTCGCTCTCTCCCTCCTCTGCCATTGTAAGACTTGCTTGCTTGCCCTTCACCTTCTACCAAGATTGTAAGCTTCTTAAGGCCTCCCAGTCATGCTTCCTGTTAAGCCTGCAAAACTGTGAGTCAATTAAACCTCTTTTCTTCATAAATTACGCTGTCTCAGGTAGTTATTTACAACAGTGTAAGAATGTACTAATACAGGAAATTGGTACCAGGAGTATGGGGCAGTGCTATAAAAGTAGCTGAAAATGTGGAAGTGACTTTGAAACTGGATAACACGCAGAGGTTGGAACAGTTTGGAGGGCTCAGAATAAGACAGGAAGATGTGGGAAAGTTTGAAACTTCCTAGAAACTTGTTGAATGGTTGTGACCAAAATACTGATAGTAACATGGGCAGTGAAGTCCAGGCTGAAGTGATCTCAGATGGAGATGAGGAACTTTTTGGGAACTGGAATAAAGGTCTCTCTTGCTATGCTTTAGCACAGAGACTGGTAGCATTTTGTCCCTCCCCTAGAGATCTGTGGAACTTTGAACTTGAAAGAGATAATTTAGGGTATCTAGCAGAAGAAATTTCTAAGCAGCAAAGCATTCAAGAGGTGTCCTGGATGTATCTAAAACTGTACACTCATATGCACGAAGAAAGAGATGGTCTGGAATTGGAACTTATATTTAAAAGGGAAGCAGAGCATAGATGTTTGGAAAATTTGTAGCCCAGCCATGTAGTAGGAAAGAAAACCCATTTTATGTGGAGAAATTCAAGCCAGCTGCAGAAATTTGCATAAGTAAAGAGGAGCAGAATGTTAATAGCCAAGACAATGGGTGAAATGTCTCTAGGGCATTTTAGAGACCTTCTTTGCAGCCCCTCTCATCACAGTTCTGGAGCCTAGGAGGGATAAATGATTTCACGGACCAGAGTCAGGTCCCTGCTGCTCTGTGCAGCCTCAGGACATGGCACCTTGTGTCACTGCTGCTCCAGCTTTAGCTATGGTTAAAAGGTGCCAAGGTAAAGATTGGGCCACTGATTCAGGGGATGTAAGCCCCAAAATTTGGCAGCTTCAACATGGTTTGGGGCCTGCAGGTGTGCAGAAGGTAAGACGTGAGGTTTGGGAACCTCCACCTAGATTTCAGAAGATGTATGGAAATGTCTGAATGTCCAGGCAGAAGTCTGCTGCAGGGGAAGAGCTCCCATGGAGAACCTGTACTAGGGCAGTGCAGAGAGAAAATGTGAAGTTGGTGCCCCCCCACCCCACAATCCCCACTGGGGCACTGCCTAGTGGAGCTGTGAGAAGAAGGTCACCATCCTCCATACCCCAGAATGGTACACCCACTGATAGCTTGGACTGTGAACCTGGAAAAGCTGAAGGCACTCAATGCCAGCCTGAAGGCACTGAAAGCAGCAATAGGGACTGTACCCAGCACAGGCACAGAGGCAGGATGCCCAGATCTTTGGAGTCCATCTCTTGTATTGGCATGGCCTGGATGTGAGACATGGAGTCAAAGGAAATTATTTTGGAGCTTTAAGATTTAATGACTGCCCTGCTGGGTTTCTGACTTGCATGGGGTCTATAGTCATTTGTTTTGGCCAATTTTTCCCATTTGGAATGGGCGCATTTACCCAAAGCCTATACTCCCATTGTATCCTGGAAGTAACGAAGTTGCTTTTTTTATTTTACAGGCTGATATGAGAAAGGGACTTACCTTGTCTCAGATGAGACTTTGGACCATGGAATTTTGAGTTAATACTGAAATGAGCTAAGACTGGGGGAATGTTGAGACAGCATAATTGCGTTTTGCAATGTGAGAAGGACATGAGATTTTGGAGGGGCTGGGGTGGAATATGGTTTTTATTTGTGTCCCCGCCCAAATCTCATGTAATTGGAGAAGAGTCCTAGTGGGAGGTGATTGTATTAGGGGAGCAGATTTTCCTCTTGCGGTTCTTGTGATAGTAACCTCTTGTGAGATATGATTGCTTAAAAGTGTGTGGTACTTCCCTCTTCTCTCTGTCTGTTGCCACCATTGTGAAGAAGGTGCTTGCTTCCCCTTTGCCTTCCGCCATGATTGTAAGTTTCCTGAGGCCTCACAGTCATGCTTCCTGTTAAGCCTGCAGAACTGTGAGTCAATTAAACCTCTTTCATTCATAAACTAACCAGTCTCACCTAGTTCTTTGCAGCAATGTGAGAACAGACTAATACACCTATCTTACCTCATTGCTTACCTTCTCATAATGGTCCTTGTGTCAAGGGTACCTCCACTTGCCTCAATGGTATCATTTGTAAATTGAAAAATGTGAGGTTACCGGGTTTTGATCCAAACAAAAAGCTTAGGATTCAATATAAGACTATGACTTTTTATTTAGTAAGACAATATTGTTGGGTAAAGATGACAGAAATGTCTTACGTTTATAAATATGCAGTTTATCAACACTCTGGGAAACACTGCAGTAGATGTTTAAGTTATAGAGACTGTCTTAGCTGACTTCCACTTAACTCACCAAATCATTGAACACTCTCCCTTCACAATAGGACCAGGGTTCAGGGGTTTTCCCTAAAGTCAGCCTCCACAATTCCAGGTTTATTATTTAAATTGTGTGCTTGTCAAGAGTCACTTGTGGTTTTTATTTTTCCCCATATTTGTTCCTTTTGTTATTATAATCAATACAATGCTTACTCTGATTAAATATAAATGCAAGGGGAAAAAGAGCTGTGTTTTTATGCAAACTGTTAAATAATTTTGACTTTATAAGGGTAAGCCATCTAAAGCAAAATCGCTATCAGAATAGATGTGGAAGACATGAGTAAAAATTTTTTAGAAAACAAAAAGGTCATAAACATCTACAAATATTTTGTACTGGATTCAATTAAAGGGGTTTAAAAACTTCAACTTCACCTTAAGAAACCTATACTGGAAATCGTAGAAGATATATTAAATGGATTCTGTTGTTGTTGTTGTTGTTTATTTTATTGGCAAGAAAGAGTATACAGATTTCTATCAGCAGACACATTCAAGGAAGACTTGACTCTACATCAACAGAGTAGTTAAATAAATAACCTTTTTTGTTTTAGGCTAAAATAAAACATTTAAGGCCCATATTTATCATTTTTTTACATTTTTTCACTTCAAATGAGTTTTTCAGTAGCTTACCAACAACATAGATGCTCATGACTTTTGATGGGGTTACATTTTAATAAACTCTGAAAAACCCATCATAAAGCCAAAATATTACAAATTGAACCCTTCTAAGTCTGGTACCATCCCTATTGGTTATGATCTTGTCAAGCGAGAAATAGAGAGTTCACACTGCAAATGCCCAATCAATGGACATGGGTTTTACCTTCATCAATACTGAGCACTTTTTAATGGCATTTTTCTAATGGGTTTATTTGTCATTTTAATTTATGAATTAATAATTCCTAAATAATCTTATTGCTCAAACTTTTTTCTGTGCTTTGTGACTCTTTAGATAATAATTCTTATGAATTATGAATAAAATTAAATCATAATTTACAGCTCTCTTAATGAACTTATATCCTCAAAATATATAAAAGTCTAAATAATTTCTTAGAAGAATCATGTTGGAATATATTCAGTTTGCAGAAAATGATTTCAGCTGAAACTTTTAGAGGACAGCTAAATGTTTTCAGATTTTTCTGTGATATATTCATATAGGCTTGATCTTTGGATATCACTTTAAATAATTTAGCATTTTGTTCCTCTCTTGGATTCTCCCAAACTCCTGAAGCAGAACATATTTTTGATTGATTATGCTGTCTTTTTCCTCCTCCCTCCCTTCCTTCTTTGTTTTATTCAACACATGTTTATAATGCATCTACTATGGTCAAGCTGTTTCTTCAGGCTCAGTGAACCAAATAAACACAGTCTCTAGCCTCATAGAATCCTATATGCTGGTGAGGAGAGAGACATAACACAAACAATTATGCAGATATTAACTAACTATAATTATGATAATTGCTATGAAGAAGTAAATAGTTATAAAATGCATAAGAGGGATTGGATTAAACTAGTCGGGGCAGTGGGAAGAACTTTATTGGAGAAACTGACATTAAGGTGAAATCTGAAAGATAATCTAAGTAAGTCAGAACAGTGTGGAAGGGAGAGTAGAGAGTGTTCAATGCAAATGGAACAGTCTGCGTAAGGGCCCTTCTGGAGCATGGGGAAGAAATCAAAGAGGTAGGGATCAGAATTCTTATACTTTTGGTAAGGTATTGCAAAAGGAAGTCTAGGAAAAAGCTGCATCAGACTGCATTAGTGGGCACTTGTAAAAAATGAAGATTACGGAGACCCACTCACGACCTTCTAATAGAGAACATCTGGAAATGAAATCTGGTCATCTCCTTCCTGGCAGATACCCAGGTGGTTCTTTTGGACTGGAGAAGTAATTTGAGATTTACTGAATTAGACTAATTTGCTTTCTAAATGTATTACCATAACAAATTGAAGACATGGCCTTACAACGCCAAGCTTTATAATCATATTCAATTCTGGAAACACTAGGTTCTTTCTTTCTTTTTATTTTATTCTCTTTTTACCCCAAGACAACAATAAAGAATTAAATGTAAGGAATGTAGTAAAAGCCCTTCTCTCTATTTTTTTAGTAACTGATGCCTTAATTTCTCCTTATAAACTATCAAAGCATTAGGCAGAAGCATCTGTTTCTCTCATGGTGTACACATCAGAATCAGTGGCCCAAAGAGATTAATTGTCTTTCTGGGAGTCATAGTTTGCCTGAAGTAGTGCAAAGATCTCCTGATTCCCATGTCCACATCCTTGCCCCCTACATCCTCTGCATCCCTTTATCTCATCTGGAGGTCATTAGTATTTGTTCTCTTCCCCAAATAGCACTTTTCACATCAACACTCAAAGAAAAAGGAAAACAATAGGAAATGCTAAATTTTGAACTTTTCACAGGTGATGTTTTCAGAAATTGATGTCAAGAATAAAATAGCTGTTGGCAGTTACAACTGTTTGGATGTCATTTTACAAAACAATTGCCTATGAGGTCTTCGTGGATTAAAGTTCTCACATAATTTGGGAAAGCCTGCTGCCTGCTCTCCCTTCTGACCTCCTCTCTCTGGCAATTTTTACATAACTACATAGCACAGTTGGTTCCCAAGTCTGCTAAGCTTTTCCTTGCCTAAATAAATCATAATTAGTAAAGAAGAAGAGCTTCAAACTGAGGAGTCATAAAAATCATGGGGGTATTCTCATTTATTAACAGGTTTTGAACTTACAGCATCCCCTGAACTTGGATGATTCTAATCAGTGGTGAAATGAGACTAACTTTATCCCTAGACATTGGTCAAACATATCAGGCTCAGCTGTATGGCAGATAAGGCATTGTGAAGCAGTTTTACCTGGAGATGTACTTGCTACTGAATTTCTGAAGCAGAAGCTAGATTGTATGATGGAGCCATCCACATGCTCATTTTTGTGAAGGGGAATAATTAGCAATTCACCACGTTAAAGTTTAACAGAGAAACCTCCTTAGGAAGATAGAATTTCACATGACCTCCAGGGTCCTATCTTCTCGTATTCATGCCTTTGTGTACGTCTCTCTCACTGAGTGTGTGCTGGACCTATGACCTGCTTCTAAGCAATGGAATTCAGAAAAGATGATGTATATTTGTAATCACAAATACAAAATTACATTACATAAAATTGTAGTGCCCATCTTGCAAGGAGATTTTCTCTCCCTGAATCACTTTAAAGAAGCAGGCTCAAATATTGTGGACTGCCATATGGAGAGGGCCACACAGCTAGCAGCTAAGGATCACCTATAGCTTACAGTCAGCAAGAAAATTAAGTCTTTCACCTAGTAACCTGCAAGGAAATGCATTTTGCGAACAACTGCATAAGTTCCCTGATAGAGGCTCAGATCACAGCCACAGCCAAAAATATGACTGAAAATTTTTGAGACTCTAAGTAAACCATTACCTGGAGACCAAAGTCAATCATGCTTGGGCTCCAAACCCACAGAAACTATGCAGTAACAAATGTATGTTATTTTAAGTCACAAGTTTGTCGTGTTCTTGCTATGCAGCAATGTATAACTAATACACATCTGCAAAACACTATAATTTGTATAGAAAGTAGATTCCTCGACAGAGATCCTGTTAAGGAGTCTATTCTCCTAAATAAAATCATGAACTCCTAATCTGAATACTCAAGCTTGAAGGGAAGGGTAGTTAAAGATATTTGGGAATTAACTTCCTATTTTCAAAATGTGGGGATTTGAAGTTACTAAAGCAGCAATAAACCAAACGTGTTGTCGCATGCTTTCTTTCTTTTTTTTTTCATTTTCATCTTTACCCTATAGGATGGGTTCCTTCTAGCAAAAACTTGGTAACATGGCCTTTACTTATTTCATAGTGTAATTATTGAATGTTTTTCTTTTTCTACCAATCAAACCCAGGCCTTTGTAGCCCCATGTGGTCACGGTTTTGGGCTAGTCTATAAAAAAACAAGCTACTCGTTCTCCTTACTTGAGCTTGCACCTGCTCACTCCTCTTTATCTCCTTAATTTTCTGTTCTCTGCTTTCTTTGTCTTCCCTTTCTCTCACCCGTTCTGCAGGTCTCAGCTCAAACATAATTTACTCCTAAAAGCTTTTCACAGCCCCCTAACTGTATAGCTTAAGATTTCCTTCACTGTATCAGTATACATTTAATCTTGCCATAATACGCCTGTCTCTTTATTGAAATATTCTTTTTATTATCCAGTCTCCTTCACTACAATGCAAGCTCAATATTGAAGGTAGTATCTTGGTCACCTATTTATCTTCTATTCCTTAGCATCTAGCTTAATGCATAAGTGCATACAAAATGATTTTATTTTAAATAGATGAAAGGATGTCATAGTAACAAGAGTGGAAGCATTAGAGTCAAATTTTACTCAAAGTTTAGTTTACTGTGTGACCTTGGGTAAATTACAGAATTTATGTTAACCTTGATTTTCTCATCTGGCAAAATGAGAACTATTAACTTCTATTCCTTCTGTGATTCATTGAAAAATTAGTTTTTTTTCAACAAATGAATAACTACTTGTGCTTTTATAGTGTATCTGACATGGATCTAGGGTTTGGGATACAGGATTGTACAAAAGAGTCAAAATATTTGCCTCTGGAAGCATAAGACATTTAATAAGCAAGATGGATAAAATATACAGTATGTTAGGTAGTTATAATTGCTAAGGAGAAAAATTAATTACAGAACAGGAGTAAGAAGCATTGGTGAAGAGGAATTGCAATTTTAGATAAGGTAGCCAGGAAAGACCTTATCGAGAATGTGCCTTTTGCATTAAAATGTGAAAGGGATGCAACAGCTAGCTACACCAATAAGTAGGAGAAGAACATTTCTGACATAGAGGGTGGGATATTTGTAGTAAATTAATTTTCTGGAATAATCAGTGGCACAGTACCTGTCACATAGAGTTCTCGGGATGGTTAATTACTACCTCACACCCATTTTTTAGTATTTGCATTTGTAATATTTGCATTTGTTAATTCTAAGCTATATACTCATTATTTACATACTTCCATGTTTGTTCTTGAAAAATGCCTTAATCTTACAGTCATCAGACTCAATCTATCACATATACTGAGAAAAACTGTATCTATTTTGATTTCCCTAAATGGAAAGTTAGAAGCTTACTCTGCAGGTGGCAGGTAAGCACCAATCCTTTTATCAGTTTTCTAGGTAGGATAATAGAACATCAATATCCAAGGCAAGAATTCCATAAGGAAACATTAAAGCTGCGAAAACTCTTCATTGTGAAAGTACAAAATGACTGTCTATGCAGGCAGTGAAATATAGCTAAAAAAATTTACAAAAAAAATTATTTATCAGTTAATCTGATTTTGAATCTGAGTTCTCATACTCCTGGACTTACAGAGGACTCCAGCCTCAGGCACTGTTGGGACTCCAGTACCCTGGATGTAAAGAGGTAGTGTGGAAGCACAGGAGAGGCCTTCTTATTGTCCCAGGTTACATGGGTCTTCAGGACCACTACATCTATTGCTTCTGTGCCACGCTTGGGATACAGTGAGGCTAGGAATCCTTATGCCCAGGATTCGACCTCCCTAAGTCCTCAACATGGCCCTCAGGCTAAAGTTGGGTCCCTTCTTGAGGACACTGTTCTGGAACAAGATTTATTGTTCTATCCTCTGCTCCTCTAAATGTCTCTCTTTATTGTTAAACATTTTAGTGCATAAAGACATGTTTTTTATAACAGGTTTGGGTTTTTGGAAACAATAGTCAGTGAGGGATATGTCTTACATTTAACGTCAGTTTTCCTTCTAGTCACATATCTCCCTTGAAGCGAGGTAATGAGTAGACAGCTACTTACCAGAAGGTGGAAACAAAAGATGATGAAATAAGGAGAAATATAAAAATTACTATTTTAAACTTTATCCAAACAAATCTATATGTTAATATCTCCAAGAGTATTTACATTTAGTGGAAATCAGTAAAAATTGAAATGTGTCAGTTATAAGTTGCATCATCTCTCTTTCCTTCCTCCTAGGATGCTTTTCATTTGCATAGCAATGACCAAGATCTTGATAACTGTTTTTAGAAACACTCACATCAAATTCCATAGACTTTAAATACTTGATTAAATATTGAATAATAAACAGACAAACAAAATATCTTTTTGCATCATCAACTTTCTTTTGAATCAGTAGGTTAGAACTTGAGAAAATATGAATTCATTTTTGTTTATGGTTATTTGTTAGCCTAATTTCCTCCAGGAATTATATCAGAACATGGCTCAGATACAGGCAGCCTAAATCAAAAAGATAATAAATGGCTTTCTAAGACTATAGCTAGTAAATGCTTTTGAAGTTGGTGGCAGTGACATTTACCTATATCAACTGATAGGACTCAGCCAACACAACAAAGGTATTTTCTGAATAGAGGTGGTCTAATGTGCTTAAAATCAAAATATTCCCAATGGATTCAGAGAGAGAAAAAAAGGAAAATATATTTTCAATTATTTTGTTTTAGTATTATGTTTTACTAGATTCAACCTGGTTTTCTCCCTCTCTGTCAAATCTCTCAGGTGGATTGGCTCTCATACGTGAATCTTTTGCACTACCTCATTTGAAATGAAAAACAGGTTTGTATAATTCACAATTTTATCACCTCTTTGTGAAATTACTTAGTGCCATATTCCAGAAAAACAATATATTTTATAATCAAATCCTATGTTGTACTATTTGTTATTGACACATTATAATTGTACATATTTATGGGATGCAATTTGATATTTTCATACATACCTAGGTTGTTAATTGATTCAATCAGGGTAGTTAGTGTGTCCATCACCTCATGCATTTATCATTTCTTTCTGGTGAGAAGCTTCGAAAGCGTCCGTTGTAGCTATTTTATAATATGCATTATTTTACTGTGAACCATAGTCACCACACTATGCAATAGAACGCCCCATATCTTACTAATCCTATTAAATTGTAACTTTGTATCCATTGACCAACATTTCCTCATCCTCCCCTCCATCTCCCTCAGTCCCTGGTAACCACTGTTGTACTCTGTCTCTATGTGTCACCTTTTTTTAGATTCCACATATAAGTGAGATCATTTGGGTTTGCCTTTCTGTGGGTCTGGCGCATTTCACCTGCCATGATGTCTTCCAGGTTTATGCAATGACAAAGTTTATTCTTTCCATGGCTAAGTAGTAGTCTATTGTGCATATATACCACATTTTCTTAATCCATTCATCCATTGGTAGACACTTAGGTTGATTCCATTTCCTGCAATAACATGGGAATGCAGATAGCTCTTCAAAATACTGACTTCATTTCTTTTAGAGATGTATCTAGTAGTGGGATTGCTGGATCATATGTTACTTTCATTTTTAGTTTTTTAGCAGCCTCCATATTGTTTTCTATAATAGCTATACTGACTGACATTCCCACCAACAGTGTGTATGTTCACTTTTCCATATCCATGCCAGCATTTATTACTTATTTGTCTTTTTGAGAATAGCCATTTTAACTGGAGTTAGGTGGTAATCACAGTGCAGTTTTGATTTACATTTCTAGATAATTAGTGATATTGAGAATGCTTTATGTACCTGCTGGTCATTTTTTAATTGGGTCTTTTCATATTTTGTTTTTGAGCTGTTTACATTAGTTATATATTCTAGATATTAACCCCTTGGAATACATGTATAGTTTATAAATATTTTCTCCTATTCTGAAGTTATTGTCTCTTCACTCTGTCAATTATTTTATTTGCTGAATGGAAGTTTTCTATTGTACAATCTTATTCGTCTATTTTTGCTTTGGTTGTGTGCTTTTTTAAGGTCTCAAAAAAATCCTTGTCCAGTATTGTCACCTAAATTGGTACAGGTACTGACTGAAAATCTCTAGTGGATAATCATAACACTCTTGGTCACATGTTCTTCTTTCTGCTTGAAAACTTTTTTTTAAAAGGAAAAGATACCAAATGCCTGCTGCTACCGCCCTTTTCAATTGCTATCTTTTGAAAGGCACCAGTATGTGTTTTAGATTGATTTCCATTTCACAAAAATGACAGACAGTAGTTTCAGCTCTGATGGTATAAGCAAAATAAATAAAACATGTTTATAAAAAATAAAAAAAAATCCTTGCCCAGACCAATATCCTGAAACATTTCCCCTATGTTTTCTTTGAGTAGTTTCATAGTTTGGGGTCTTACATTTAAGTCTTTAATTTATTTTGAGGTAAATTTTTTGTAAGTAGCGAGAAACAGGGATTTAGTTATATTCTTTTGTGTGTGATTATCCAGTTTTCCAAGTACCATTTATTGAACAGACTGTCCTTTCTCCAAGTGTGTTCTTGACACCTTTGTCCAAGATCATTTGGCTATAAATGTATGGATTTATTTCTGAGCTCTCTATTCCTTTCCATTGGTCTGTGTGTCTGCTTTCATTGCAGTACCACGATGTTTTTGTTACCATAGCTTTGTACCATATTTTGAGTTGAATAGTGTGATGTCTCAAGTTTGTTTTTTTCCACTCAGGAATGCTTTGGCTTTTGAGTCCTTTGTGTTTCATATGAATCTTATGATTGTTTTTCTATTTGTGCGAAGAATGTTGCCAGTATTTTGACAAGGATTACATTACATCTGCAGATCGCTTTAGGTTGTATTGTCATTTTTACAATATTAATTTTTCCAATCCATTAACACAGACTACCTTCCCATTTCTTTGTGTCCCTTTGTATCCCCTGTTGTAAAAATTTCATAGTGTTTTCAATGTAGAGATCTTTTACCTCTTTGGTTAAACTTATTTTTAAGTATATAATTTTTTGTAGCTATTGTAACTGAAATTGTTTTCTTGATTATTTTTTCATATTGGTTCACTAACACTATATAGAAACACTAATTTTTATTTTGATTTTGTATTCTGCAGCTTTACTGTCTATTAGTTCTAACAGTTTTTTTTTTTTACTGAAGCCTATATTGTTTTTTATATACAAGATAAAATTTTCTACACTCAGGGATAATTTTATTTCTTTTCCGATGTATATGCCTTGTCTTTGTTTCTCTTGCCTAATTACTCTGGCTAGGACTTCCAGTAGTATATTGAACAAAATGGTTAAGGGAACATCCTCATCTTGTTCCTGGCCTTAGGACAGATTTTAGCTTTTCCCCATTCCCTGTGATGCAAGTCTCAGATTTGTTATGTATGACATTTATTGTGTCGAGGTACATACCATCTATACCTAATTTGTTTAAAGTTATTGTCATGAAGGAATTTTGAATTTTGTCAAATGCTTTATCTGCATCTATTGAAAAAATCATGTGGTTGTTTCTCTTTCTCTTAATAAAGTATATAACATTCATTGATTTGCATATGTTAAACCATCCTTGCATCCCATGAATGATTCCCACTTAATTATAGTGAATTATCTTTTTTAATGCACACTTAGATTCAGTTTGCTAGTATCTTGTTGATAATTTTTGCATTTACTTTTATGAAATATACTGGCCTATAGGTTCCATTTTGTTTTTTATGTTCTCATCCAGTTTTGGAATTAGTGTAATGCTGGCTCATAAAGTGAGTTTGGAAGTATTAACTTGTCTTTAATTTTCTGAAACAGTTTGTGGAAAATTGTTATTAGTTATTTAAATGTTTGATAGAATTCAAGAGTGAGGACATCAAGTCCTGGGATCTTCTTTGCTGAAATACTACTTTTTACGTCTTCAATTTCTCCACCCATTATTGGTCTTTTTAGATTTTCTATTTCTTCATAATTTAATCTTGGTAGGCTGTGTGTATCTAGGAATTTATCCATTTCTTCTATGTTATCAAGGTTGGTGGTGTATAGTTGTTCATAATAGCTTTTTATTGTCTTTTGTATTTCTGTGATATTTGTTCTAATGTCTTCTTTTCATTTCTGATTTTATTGTGTGAGTTTTCTCCCTCTTAGTCTCACTAAAGGCTTGTCAATTTTTTATATAGCACCATTATATTCTGGGGTATTTAGAGTTTGATTTATAAATTTACCTCTACTGGTGGGTTTCTGTTTAATTTTCAAAAAAACCTGCTTTATACCTAGGTACTCTAGTATTGGGTACATATATTTATAATTATTGTAATCGCTTGTTGAGTTGATCGCTTTATCATTACATATTAACCTTTTCTCTTTTTACAATTTTTTTACTTAAAGTCTTTTTTAAATTTGATCTAAATACAGCTGCAAAAGCTGCATGCAATTTTTTTTTCATCCGTTCACTTCAATCTATGTTTGCCTTTAATGGTGAGGTGAGTATTGCAGGCAGCAAGGAGTTGGGTCTTGTTTTTATGTTTGTTTGTTTGCTTGCTTTTTATCCACTCAGCCACTCTATCTTTTAATTGAATAATTTAATTCATTTACATGCAAGGTTAATATTGATTAATAAGAACTCACTTTGGTTATTTTGATCATTTTCTGATTATTTTGTAGTTGTTTTGTTCTTTTCTTCTTCTCTTGTTTACCTCTATGGTTTGACAGTTTTCTGTGGTCCTCAGCTTTGTTTCCTTCCTCTTTATCATTTGTGTCACTTATTTCTTTGCGGTTAACATGGGCTAACATAAAGAGTTTTGTAGTTACAGCAGACAATTTTAAGCTGATAACAATTTAACTTTAGTTTTAAAAAAGTACTCAAGACCATTTATATTTTTGTTACCTTAATTTACTTCTTTATCTATTATGTGTTCCTTAGTCACTAATTTTAGATATGCTTGTTTTTTATCCTTTTGACTTTAAACCTTCATGATAGAGGATTGAGAGATTTATATAGCATCACTACATTGCTGGGGTATCTTGAGTTTGATCTATGAATTTCCCTCTACTGATGGGTTTTACCTATGGTGTGTTTCTATTTAACAGTTTTCTGTGAACACGTTTTAGTTCTTTAGCTAGACTACAAATTTATAGCTGGACACATGGCAGTGGTAAATAGATATTTTCTTTTAAAGTATTTGAGTGCTTGCTACATGCAGCTTCTCTATCAGCATCTCACGTACATAGTTCATTTAGTGCTTATATCAATAAAGGAAAGAATGTATTGTCCTTTTTTCCTAATAAGTAAAATTAATTTCTGATAGTCAAAATAGCTTGCAAACATGTTTACACAAGACACAACACGAAGTCATATAACTGGCATCTGAATACATTTTTCTCTGACTTCAACTCTGTAGCTGAGCCAATATGCTATCATGATTCTCTAAAAGTGAAGTCCTTCATAAAAGGTAATAGAAGGTTTGTGAAAATACCTATACATAGAGGTCAATCTTCTTATAATAAACAGAAAATGTGATTTACATATGTTGGTTCTCCTAGGAGGAATATATATTCCTTTAGATATTTCACGTGATACCTGTTACACTGAAACTGAACTATTTTAACTAAGGAATCTTGCAAAGAAGCCTAGTGATTAGATGAATAAGTTATCTGAGCAGAATGGTACAGTCCACAATAACAATATTTCAAAGGTCATATAAATGGATTAATTCAGTAAGCATTAATCGATACTAAATCTCAGGCGCTATGTTAAGTGTCATGAATACAAAAAGAATGGCATGCTTCTTAATCTCTACAAGCTTTCATTTTAGTGAGAAGAGGTATATGTAAAAAAAATTCCTGATATAAAACAGACACTTATTAAATAATATATATTGAATTTAAATGCCTTAACATATTCATGGAGTGCAGATGGATGAGTGATTAATTCTGTCTAGGCAGGAAGTAGTGGGAGATTTAGGATGCCCTATGAAAGATTTAGGATGATAGTAAACCTATGATTTGAAAAATAAGAGAACATTAACTAGTAAAGAACTAATGAGACAGACATACCAGAAAGTCAAGAGTGTTTTCGGAGATACAAAATATAACTTGTTCAGATGCATCCTATTTTTCTCCTATGTATAAAAAGGGAGGGATGAGAAATAGCAGTGAAAAGTTAGATGGAAATAGACATTGAAGCATTATCCTCAAGATAAGAATTTTCTGCTGTGATCAAATATCATTGCAAGTTTCCCAAATACTTTAAATGTATACTTTTTAATACACTCAAAATAGTCTTAATAAAATTATTGTCCTCTTAATTTGGTACTGTCTATTAACATCAGTGGCCATATGGTAATAACAACATAGTTTTAAACACAGTAGGGAAGCTCAGTGAAATAGAGATAAGAAAGTAGAATGGTAAGTTTTTGTAATAACCTTCTAGAAGAAGATTCACTTAAATCAGTTAATTTCATGGCATTCATAAAATATTTGCAAAGGAAAATGAGCTCTCTGGAGGAATAACATTGGTCTCATTTCTTCACACTTTCTTTTTTTGTTTATTTTTCTAAGAAGTTTTGACAATTCAGGAGTGGTTTTTTAAATTTTCTCACATTCTGTAACCATCTTTTTACCATATTTAACCTCATTGCCTCTTACACCTTTTTAAGACTTGGTGGGAAAAAATGAATAGAAACAGAAAAAAGAGGTCAATTCTTTTTTCAAATCTAACACATTTCTCTACTTGATTGTAAAACAAAGAAGAGTTTGTAGTTAATATTTGGAAGGGAAAACAATTTTGTTTTGTTTCATTTTGTTTTTCAGCAGACCAAGTGGTACATATTCTTTGGGAAAAAATATCAAAAACTAAATAAATAGATGCAGTGGATAAATTATAGAAACATTATCTCTAAATTGGGAAATATTCTATCCCTTTATAAACACCACGTGAAACTTCTATTGTTTATAGAGTAACTTCTGAAAACAGGAAAATTTTTAAAATGTGTTTACTATGTACCACTTATAATGTAACATCGTTCTTTTTTCTTATTTTAAATAATCATATTGAAGTATAATTAATAATACACAAGTATAAAGTGTACCATTTGATATTCCCACATATGCATACCTATAAAACTTGTGCACATCGTAATTCCTCCAACCTGTCTTCAGTGGTTTACATATGATTTGTTTCCACTAAAACAAATTTGATCATATTGAGGGATCACATTTCAATGGGAAACACTGTCAATGGGAAACACATTGATCCCCCAATGTGACAGTGTTGGGAGCTGGAGCCTAGTGGCAGGTATTTGGGTCATGAGAGTGGATCCCTCATTTACAGATTTATAGACTAGTGCCTTCTTATGGGGATGAGTAAGTTGTTGCTGTCTGGAGAATGGATTAGCTCCTGTGAGTGTGGGTTGCTAAAATGTCTAACTTCTTCCCTCGCCATGGGATCTCTTTGCGCGGGCCTACTCCCCTTCTGCTTACATGTTGAGTGGGAGCAGCACGAGACCCTGACCAGAAGATGAGCAGATGCTGACGCCATGCTTCCTGAGTTTCCTAGGCTGCAGAACCATGAGCTAATTCTTTTCTTTTGAAATTACCCAGCCTCAGGTATTCAGTTGTAGCAACACAAAATGGATTAAGACACCATCCCTGCCATTCCATTTCCCATAAGTATCAGCCTAATGTCACTATGGAGTAGTTTGTATTTTCTATAATTTTATAAGTGGAATAATGGACAATATAATTGGGAGAGGCATCTGGCTTATTTTATTTAAAAAAATTACTTATAGGTTCATCCATTCACAGTGTTGCATGTGTAAATGACTTATTTTTTTATCACTGAGTAGTAGGGCATTATATAGGCAACCTCCCATTTTTTAATTCATTATCTGTTAATGAATTTGCATTCATTTTCTAGGGCTATCACAACAAAGTAGCACAGACTAGATGTCTTAAAAAACATAAATTTATTTGCCAACAGTCTGGAGGCCAAGTCAGAGATTCAGGTAGTGGCAAGGTTGATTTCTTTTAAGGTCTCTCTCCTTGGCTTCCACATGTGTCTTTTCTCTGTGTCTTCACATGGTATTTCCTCTGTGCACTTCTGTGTTCTAATCTCCTTTTCATATAAGGACACAAGTCATCTTGAATTACGACCTACTGTAAGCACCTCACTTATACTTAATTACTTCTTTAAAGACCCTATCTTCAAATACAATTACATTTAAAGTATTGAGGGCTAGAACTTCAACATATAAATATGAGGGGGTGCACAATATATAAGTATGGGGCACAGTATGTGAGTGCTCAAAGTAGACAGGGTACTGTCTACTTTTTGACTATGAATATTTACTTATAATCTTTCTATGAATATATATCTTTATTTCTTTTGAGTAAACACCTGGAAGTGGAATGTCTGTGTCGTATGGTAGATACCAATTTAACTTTAAAAAAGAAGCAAACTTTTCCAAAAGAGTTGTACCCCATTTAACAATTCCACCAGTAATATATGAGAGTTCCTGTTGCTTCACATCCTCATCAACACTTGTTACCATTAATCTTGGAGTATGTGGGGGGTGTGTGTGTTTGTGTGTGTGTGTGTGTGTGAGAGAGAGAGAGAGAGAGAAAGAAAGACCAACTGTTACATTTTTTAAAAATCTCAATGTTTATTAAGCATAATAAAGCACCACAAAATGCTATTTCAGGCAACAACAGACCACATATGCCATGATGGTGCCATACGATTATAATACCATATTTTACACTACCTTTTTACACAAATACTTACTATTGTCTTATAATTGCCTACAGTCTTCAGCACAGTAATATGCTCTACAGGTTTGGAGCCTAGGAGCAGTTGGCAATACCATACACCTTAGGTATGGAGAAGGCTTTAACCTCTAGGTTTGTGTAAGTGTATTTTATGATATTCACACAGCAAGAAAATTGCTTAATGACATGTAACTCACAACTGTATATCTAACTTTATAATAAACTTTCTATGTATATAAAATTTTATGTATCTATACCTGGAGTTTTTGATAGAACTAAATCATAAAACTCTCAGACTGGTGGCTTTATTATGACAAGGATTTTAACAACTAAATCAATTTTTAAGTTTTATTTTTAATTGGTACATAAAAATTATACATATTTATGTGGTAAAATGTGATGTTATAATACATGTATAGATTGTGTCATGATCAAATCAGAGCATGTAGCTTATCTATCACCTCAAACTTTTATCATTTCTTTGTGGTGAGAACATTCAAAATCCTTTCTTGGAGTTATTTTGAAAAATACAGTATAGACCTGTTAACAACAATCACCCTATTGAGCAATAGAAACTAGAACTTATTCCTCCTATCTGAAATTTTGTACACATTGATGAAAACTCTCCCCATCCCTCCTCCACCCTACTATCCCCAGACTCTGGTAACAATTATTCTACT